>NC_000022.11:12027555-12225588 GCF_000001405.40 Homo sapiens | reverse complement strand
GAATTCCATCTCCTATTATGATTTAAAGATGCTACAAACTTGAGACATTACTATGTAGATGAGATTCCCAGCAAATCCCCCAACAACACTTAATGAGATTTCACATACCAGGATCATGAAACAGTAAAAGATATAAGGAAATAAAGAAAAGTACAGTATATGTGTAGAAGGCATTAAAACACAAATTTTATAATTATGAATGCATATAATAAGGAACAAGTTTTATTCTAAATAGCAATTAAATCAGAACTACAATACAGGGAATAAAAGTGAATATTAAACCATTGTACCGACAATAACAGAGCCCTTTTTCTGCTGCGTGATGGAATTTAGTGTTTACTAAGGAAGAAAAAAAATGCAAGATATCTTATATTTGGTACTTTCCAACAAATTTAAGAAATGTGTACACACTTGAGGAGACTTAAGAAGTCTCTGACTAAAACACTAGAAAAGAAAAGCAGTGAAAAGCCAAATAACTATTACTCAACAATAACATTTGTTACTATTATATTAATATTAAACACACTATTAGGCAACAACATTTCAGTTACTCACTGAGCCCAAAGTCATTTTTCATGAACCATTCACAACACTGATAACCTATTGAAAAATGATTGAAAACAAAAAAGCTTATTGCTTTCCAAGTCCTTTTAAAGCCTTCTCATGTGTCATTTCATATAATACTTATAACGAATCTATGGAGTATATACTGACTTTATCTCTGTACAGAAAAGAAAACTGAGTCATATTCAGAATAAGTTGCAAATATTCCCCAGATAATCAGTGTCCTGGGTGAAATTTTACGTCACAGTGTACTCAAGTGTAATTTAGGGAAGCAGCACAAATGACGGCTGAAAGCACAGGTTCTGGGGTAAATAGCCTGAAGTCAAAATCTAGTTCATATCCTCAGTGGCTGTGTGATCTTGGGAAATTTCCCTTAACTCTCTGTGTCTTGGTCTTATAGTTTCATCCATTATTGCCTCTCATATGAGAGGTGAGCATTACACTAGTTTATGCTTCTAGGACACTGAAAACAGTACCTGGCTCTTGATAAATATTAACAATTTTATTTCATTTTCTTCACCTTGAGTATTTCATGGCCAGATGGAAATCAATGTCAATATGAAAAAATGTTCATAATTCAACAGGAAGAAATACAAAACCATATAAACAACTTTGTTTTACTGGCAAGTGTATTTGGAAGCTATGTTAAATTGAGAAGGGGAAGGGAAAGCCTCTAAGGGCATTGATTAATCAATGACCAAAAGCTGATGAGACTTGTCTGGAGTTTTTTTTTTGGAGACTCTGAGACTTAAAATTTCTCCAAAATAAGGAGATGAATTGAGTAGTGTGGAAGAGACATTTTCTGAAGTCAACAGAGAAAGGAGAGACAAATATGGTAAGGGGAAAATGGTATGAAGTAATAATATCTATGAAGTGCTTTCTAAAGTATAACACATGTAAATTGTGTTAAATGTAAACTATCATGATTATATCATTACTGTCTGACTGATACAACTATATCCACCTCAGTTAGCCACATAAGATCAATTTTCCTATACCTTAGAGAACACCAGTAACCTCCGGTTCAGAAACAGCATAAATATCTATCCACAGCTGAGCAGACACATACAGCTAGCTACTAGATGAAATGGGCCATATCTTCAAATACTATTGTTTTCCATTTTTTAATTGTGGCAAAACACACTCAACAATTTGCATCTTAACCACTGTTAAGTATACAATTCAGTGTCATTAAATGTATTCACAATGTTGTGCAAGCATCACCACCACCCATCTCCATAATTCTTTTTGTCTTTTGTCACCCATTAAAAAGTGACTCCCCATTCCCTGCCCTCCCAGGGCAACTACAGCTTTACTTTCTGTCTTGATGAATCACATAATATCAAATGCAATTTTTAAGATATTTAAAATATTTTGTCTGGAAGCAAAGTGGAAGTTAATATCAATGGCTATGCCTTTAGTGAGTTCTCAGACCACATTACAATGTAGTTAACTATTTATCTTTTATTACTTTCTAGACCTATTATTTCTTTCTGGTTCAAAAATATCTTCTTTGTAGATTATGGCATTTACCTCTATCTCCACACCTATTTGCGTCTCTCATCCACAGATCATCAGCCTCTTGCTTAGTCTTCCATTTAATGACAAATTCTATTTAGTATACAACAGTCCTTCCCCCTGCAAAGCAATTTCTTCACTCTGAAAAGCTCTGAATCTGGCTAATGGTCTCTGTTATGTACTCATCCCTAGAGCCATGTCTTCAAATATTTCTCAGAACTTCTTCACATCTAAAAATCTAAGATTAATTTATTGCTCTCTGATTATATTCTTCTGGTATTTCAAGTATCCTGTATAACTTCTTCATCTGCCCTTGCTTTTCTTCTACATCAAGATGTCAAGTTCATGGACTTCCCAATTAATCATTTTAAAAATTTATTTCAAGCCTTTATGAGTCACTACAATATACATATGTTCTCAGGCATTATGGCCCTACAATTTGTATGTGAGAATAGTTCCTGTGTCAGGCATTATGGACATAAGAGGAAATAAATTCTAGCCCCTGCCTACAAGGAGCTAATTCCCAGCCTAAGACAGATTGCAAGCCAATAATATGCAGACTTGTAAGTCTAAGGAAACTGATTGGGATGTACCTAATTCGAGCTGGGAATATCAGAAGAAAAACTTATTGAAAGTCATGAGACATGAGCTGTGCCTAAAAGAATGAAAAATAGAGAGAGAAATAAGAAGAAATAAATTAGGGAATGAGGTGGGTATAATAGTAGAAAAAGGAAATCTCTTTAGATAAAACAGGGTATGAGAGTATATAAGAGGCTTATTAACTCAGTGTGGTTGGAGAAAATAGGTTGAAAGGAGAAATAGGGGAGAAAGTTCCAAAGGGAATCAAACGTGTTAATAGTTGAGGGAAAAGGAAATATTGAATACGACCCATAGATCTTGGATAATCCAGTGTTTGGTAGTAGCTTACATAAAAGGTTGTGACAAAATAACCAGAGGTATGCAGAGAAAATAATAACTGAGTGTCATATTTCCTCTCAGTAGAAACCTAAAAATGAAATGTAATCACACACTGATCTTTTAACTGACCTCCACTTATCTTGCTGCCTGGATTGGTATACATATTCCTCTGCCTGAAAAATTGCTCAAAACTTTTGAAAGGTTGTTTCTCACTGTTACACCCAGGCATTTCTGCTAACACCAGCTGAGTTGTAAGGGGCCCTCCAGGAGGCCTAGGTTGTTCTCCTTATCACATACATAATTTTCATTTATCAATTTACCCAGAACATCTAATGAAATATTATGGACACCAATAACATGAATACAAATATAGCTATAGACCCTAAAAAGTAAATTGATGTCTCTTGAAAGGCTGTCATGTCTTAGATGCTTAATTTGGAGTATGTGTTTCTAATAAATAAATAGCTTGCTTTAATCATTCTGATTTATGAATGTAATATAGGGGAGCAGCTTTGATTTCACCCTTAATCTTAAAAAACAATTAGCCGGGTGTGGTGGTGGGCACCTGTAGTCCCAACTACTCAGGAGGCTGAAGCAGGAGAATGGTGTGCACCTGGGAGGCGGAGCTTGCAGTAAGCCAAAATTGTGCCACTGCACTCCAGCCTGAGTGACAGTGCGAGACTCTGTGTCAAAAAAAAAAAAAAAGATCATACAAGGAGTAAATGATGATTTAGCATAAAACACAACTTTGGCCTAAAACACAGTTCATAGGGCTCAAACTTTGTTATTTTATGGGATTATACTAACCAGTTAATATTCAAAATTTACCATTTCAAAAGAAGAAATATTGGCCTGGGAAAATTGCCATTGCTTATACAGAAGAATGGAGGAATCTTTTTGAGCAAAACAATTCTAATGATCTTCCTCATCACTGGTTCAAAAACCAAGCCCATGGAAGGCCTGCATAAGGATAATGTGGAGAACATACAAAAGAAATACACATCACCAGCTCCTCAACTCAGAGCTCCAAGGGAATGACCAAGGAAGCTGTATTGTCCTAAGAAATTTGAGACTGTTTTGACTTACATTAAATCCTGCTCAATCATATGTATGTATATACAAACACACACACACACACACACACACAGACGTGTTGTCAGTGAAGCCTCTAACAATGCATCTTGACTGGACAGATTTGACAATTAAAATGGCTGGAAGAAAATAGGGCTTCATAAGTGGCACTTACTATTCACATTACACATTAAAAGGACATCTCATAAATTAAATCTTGTTTATGATAAAAAGGCAGAAAATCATGACCCAAGGCTAGTTTATAACTGCAGAAATGTTCAAGATAGACCAACGCTTGCTATGTTTAGGAACTGACAAGAAAGTACAGGTCTTTATAATCTACCATTTTGCCTCATTTGATACCAGGTGACCTTCATACTGCAGGCAATAGAGAATTGCAAGATTTGTCAGAGATTTCAGGTTTTGGAAAGCTGTGCTCTTTCACAAGAACAGCCATGGAAACAGGAAGAAAGTCAATTCCCACTTAAGGTAATCAGAATTTACAAATATTCATTTCTTCATTGAAATCTCAATAGGCACTTAAATATTATCTTTAATTAATTCTTTTGTTACAATCATGCATCACATAACAACATTTTGGTCAAGGATAGTGCACATGTATGACAGTGGTGCAATAAAATCATAACACTGTACTTTTACTGTACCTCTTGTATGTTTAGACATGTATAGATACACTTACTGTATAGATACAAATAAGTATAGATATACTTAACTGTTGTGTTACAATTGCTTACAGTATTCAGTACAGTAACATGCTGCACAGGTTTGTAGCCTAGGAGGAATAAGCTATACCACTTAACCTAGGTATGTAATCAGCTATAGCATCTAGGTTTGTGTAAGTAAACTCTGTGATGTTCATACATTAATAAAATTGTCCAGCAATGCATTTCTCAGACACACCCCTGTCATTAAGTGACACATGACTGTATTAGTTAACACTATGGGAACTGCATGGGAAATGGACACTGCAGCTTCACCATAAATAGAAACTGTTTATGTCAAAAAACACATAAAAGCATAGTTGCAAGATTACAATTCCTTCCAGATATTTCATTTAGTATCTCCACAGATCACTCACTGCCTGAATAGCATTCTTGTGTCTCCACTGCCTCACATTTGATTTCAGGTCATTCCATCAATTGTCAAAGACGCATCCAACATTAACTTTCCAACTACTGGTTTGGATTCTGTCAACATTGTCATCCTGGGCCACAACAACACAAAAGGCTAACTCAGTGAGGTAACATAGACACTGATCAGTGAGATTTTGCTGATGGGTGGTACCATTTTTTACTAAGATCAAGGGTATTCATACCTTCAGGCATCTAGATAACATTGAAAAGGGCAGGTTCATAGATAAAAAAGGAAAGAGGAAGGGTTTTTGCAGTATACATGAGCTACCGTGTCTCCTGTTTAACCTGAGTCTGAAGAGATTCAAAGTGCAGGTGCCATGAATGCCTCTTTAATAGTTCAATGTCGATTGATTTTCTGGGCTACATTTCCCAGCATTCAAATTGCTAAATGCATATAAACTACTACTGAATATTTATTACCTGGATTTGTGCTTTTGAGTGACCTTATCTATAGTTATGTGCTTCAGTGATCCATCTTGGGGTGGACTCCAACCTTTGATAAATTAAAGACGCTGCTTATTCCTTGAGTAATGCTACACTGACAACTGATTTAGTGAATGCCATTGTGAAAATAATAAACCTCTTGGTGAATATATTTAGACATGTCTTGTAACCTGTACACATCTTAACCAGGGATGTTACTTGGTCTTTCTATGTTCAGGAGTGTGTGGAGATAGAAAAACATACAGGATTGTAATTGTTTCCTGTGAGACTAACAGAAAATTCAAGCTAGTGAAGTATGTTTATGCATGGCACACTTCTCACCAGCAATTTTAGGAAGTTCTACCCACAACCCATATGTCTTTTGATATGTGTGTTACCTTGGAGAGAGAAAAAGAAACTCTGAACACAAGCATGAAATATTTTAGAATTTTATCTAGAGCTGGACTTGTCCAAAAGCTTTTGTATAAACTTGCCTGATGAGCAACTGTTGTCCACTGGTACCTTCACTGTACAATCCACACACAACCAAACTTCACAACTGGACACCTAAATTTGCACTTTGTTTGGTAAAGTTGAATGAAAAATGTTGTCTTTTAAGCTTATGTTCTCTTATGAAAGCTGTTATTAGATGAATTTTACTCCAAGATATGCCAGTTAAGAAATAACTTCCAATTTAATTTCACCAGCTCCCTGTGGGTGGACTAATTAGTCATACATCACACTTACTCTGGTGGTGAAATGCCTCAAAATAAGGTCTCCAGAGTGTTGCTCTACCTAGAAGGACAAGAATGAAGAGACATAAAAATCATTCATTAAGAAGGAAGATTTTCCTTGCCTAGATTTTCACTTGTAGGATCCAATTAATTTTATCACTTAATATTTTTTCCTGGTGGGCATTCATTTTACAAATTTGTAAGGTCAGTAGAAATGGAAACTTTTGGAAATCGAACTGTAAATGTTCTGTAGACGTTGACAGAAATAGCTATTTGGAGCTGTGCTTTTGCCAACTAGACACTGTTAGAAAATCTGTGAGAGGATATTTTCAGGAAGTCATTGAACCCCCTAAAAATCAAGTTTATTGCTTTTACCATAAATATAAATAATTAATTTATTATCAACCACTTTCAATATTCCAATAAGTAACCTTTATTGTTTATTTCATTGACATGACCTACATAGACACACAATTTATCTTCTTTTGCGATACATTCAGAAAATTTGCTGCCTGTAAAAGCCATGTTTTAAAATTACCACCTGTTTGATGACTTTTTTTTGTACTTTAAGTTTTAGGGCATATGTGCAAAACGTGCAGTTTAGTTACATATGTATACATGTGCCATGTTGGTGTGCTGCACCCATTAACTCGTCATTTAGCGTTAGGTATATGTCCTAATGCTATCCCTCCCCCCTCCCCCACCCCACAACAGGCCCTGGTGTGTGATGTTCCCCTTCCTGTGTCCATGTGTTCTCATTGTTCAATTCCCACCTATGAGTGAGAACATGCAGTGTTTCATTTCCACTTAAGTATCTATCTCTATTTGTCCTTTATTTTCACTTCCATCCTAGCTCTATCCCTTGTCTCCTTCGTGTGTCTCATGATAAGTGCCCTATAACATTTTATATTTCTGGAAACCCTTCAATATAAAGTTATTACATGTAAAAATAAAAAGTCTGTTTTAGCGAACTTTTTCTTCACAAATTATATTTTCCTACTTCCCTATTAGACAATTTTTGTAGGCTCCATATGCTATTAATTTATATTCACTTTTAGAAGAATTTTCATCAAAAGCAAAAGTCTTATGTAAATTGATTATATGCTATTTCTACTTCTATGTATATATACGCACATAGCCACATACTATATGTAACTCCAGAGGCCTGCCTGGACTGTTTAATAACTGTATTGAACAACAGCAAGAAAAAGCTGTTCAAATTTCAAACAACAAGTTGAACTGAAGACCTCACATCTTTGAATTAAATAGACACTAGTAGCCTTTAAAAATTAAACATTTCTACTGTTTTAAAAAATTATAGCCATCATAGTATGAGGAAAAAATGTAATAATCTTTTTTAATTCTTGCCATTTTATTAACCACGGACTCCTTATGCCCTAACTTCATTGGTACCCCTTTGAGATTAAACAGAACTCTTAATTTAAAATTGTGATAAATAAATTAACTACACCATTTACTTGAGGTACTCTTTCACCTTTCAAGAAATATTTTGAGAATTCATTAGCTAAATATTTCTATAATGCAGGCTAGTAACAAACGGAAAGAATGAATTCATTGTAAAGTTTAAACTAATGATGGTATGATCTGGAATTTTTGTTAACTTAGAAGACATAATTAGCTTTAGAGGTGAAATGAAAGACAAAATCACTTCACATATTAGTAAAAAACAAATAATATAACTTTATAAGCTACTGCTGTTCTTTTGCTATTAGGAACCAATGACATCTGTAATTAGGGAAGATTATGGAAAGGTTAAGGATGAGAATACATGCAGTCTATCTACAGGAAACCTAAACTGTTTAGGTTAAGGAAATGTTTGAGAAAGTCATATTAATTAGCAGGTTCACAGGAAACTAACATTTATTGTATAAATTCCATGGTCAAATGTATTAGGGCTCCATGCACACAACTATGTGCCATCTACGTTACCACACGGTGCTTACTTCTTTCAGTCTTTATTCATTTCTCTCCTAATGGTCTGTATGGTATTATTACATAGTTCTAAAAACCTTCCATGAGGCAGAAATTTCATTTAACCATATAGCTTCAAAAATAATGAAAAACAGTAGAAAATTTCTATTTTTTATGAAGCAGAATTGTTGAATTTTCAGTTTCATTTATTTAATATTACAAGATGACAAACATATTTCTTTAACTCCATCTTTTTATTTTTGTCTAACATCAACCAAAGCCATTTCTTTCATTTGAAGTTGAAAACTGCTCATCAAAATCCACTTTAAGCTGAGAAACAAAGAACTAAATGTTGCATGAGAGATTATACACTGCATAAGTAAAAAACAGGACCAGAAACAATGGTGGATTAGCAATTTTTAAAAAGACAAAAACAGGTTATCATCAAATCAATTGTTACCAACACACCAATTCCACCTCTAGGCCAGAAAATTAGCCACTTACCCACGGGAAAACAATGATTGAAGACAAAGTTCACCAGTGAAAGTTGGTTATTTTTTTCCATCCTTGCATCAACTAAAATGATATCTACAGTTCCTCTTAACACTTTTCTGAGTTTCAAATATGTGGGTATGCTTCATTAGCTGAAGCCATTTTCCATGTGTACATCTGGCTACAAGGGAAACTGGGAATGTGAGCCCTGATCCTAATGTTTGTAGAATATTTAGAAATTTGAGAATTCCCTCCAAATAAAGAGTTTTTTAAAACATTGTTAGACAAAAAGTTTGAATTACAAAATGTGGTAGTAGCTCAGGTCTAACTCAAATGCAGGGAAAAAAACTATTAACTGTAAAAAAAATTAAATACACATTTGATGGCAATGAGAAACAGAAAACAGGCAGAAATAGTAGAATATTCAACCACTGATGAAGTATTTGACCATTGAATAAAGAAAATTGCAATGATTTAAATTTGCATCAGTGCAACTTCACACCTCATGAAGCTTCCCAGTCTGTGCAAAATTAGATGTCTACGAGTAAAGTGGTGAGTTTTACTAGCTTGAGGAATAAGAGCACAGAGTTCCAGGCTGACAGAAAAGAAGAACTGGGAAATTTGAATGACATGGGAGGAAATCTCACACAACTGAAAGTCACAGAGGAGAATGTCACAGAGTAAAAATCTAAAATCAGCACTTCAACTTCATTCAGATATAAGATGGCTGCTACATTTCACATTCATAAAAAGAGACTCCATAGAATCTAGCAGAAAACAACAGCTAAATTGCTAGTACAGAGCAGAGATTTCAACCATTGCATATAGCTCAGGAGTGAAAGTTTGGTGTTTGACTACAGAAAAAAGACTAATGTTAGAAAAGAGTCACTCTTCAAACGAAAATAGAAGATCCTATCTCTATAAAATATCATACACATAATCTAACATATAATTTAACCTGCCTAGACATAAAACCAGGAAAATATGATGCATAACAAAAAAAGTAAACAATGGATTAAGACAGTGAAATGGCCCACATGCTGGGATTAGAAGATAAGAAATTTAAAATAAGCTATTGCAAGCATATTCAAGGATTTAAGGAATAGATGGTCATAAGAGGGAATATATGGAGAATCTCAACAGAGAAGTAAAAACGATAAAGAGATAACAGGACAAATTTTAGAACTGAGAGACTGAATATCTTATATAAAAATGTCATTGTATGCACATACCAGTAAATTAAAGATGGCAGAAAAAACTATCAGTGCACTTAAAAACAGATCAAGAACAATTTCCCAATACAGTTAATACAAAGGAAGAAAAATAATAAAAATAGGGCCAGTCTAGCACTAATATAATTGGACTCCTAGAAAGAGTAGAGAAGAAAATGAGACAGAAAAAGCTATTTGAAAAAGTAAAGACCAAAAGTTTTCCTAATTGTCAGCATATATCAATTTACAGGCTTAAGAAACTCAAAGAACAAAATAAAAATAAAGAGAACCAAATGTAGACACACCATAGTCAAACCACTGGGCAAAAAAGAGTAAATCTTGAAAGTAGCTAAAGGGAGGGAGAAAATAATTTACATACGTGGAAACAAATAGACAGATGACCTGTCATCAGAAATGACACTTTAAAAAGCAATGAAACTACATCTTCAAAATAAAAGAAAACTGTCAACTCCAAATTCTATAACTAGAAAAAGTAATTCTTGAGAAAAGAAAGATTTATTCAGATAAAAGAAAGCTTCAAACAATTGTCATTAGCAGACCTAGATACAAGAAATGCAAACGGAAATTTTTTAGGCTAAAGAAAGTTAACAACAGATGGAAATTCTGACCTGCAGGAAGCAAGGAGAAGCTCTAGGAATGGCATGTGCATAAACATGAAAAACTAAGGCTTTTTTCTTTTAGTTTTATAACAAACAACTGATGGTTTGAATAAAAAATTAAGTGTACTATTGATAATGTATGTAAAATATTCTAAATTAATAGCTCTGACAGAAGACTAAACGCAACAATTTTGCCGCAACTTTTCTTTATGTTACATGAAAACGTTGACTATTAACACTAAGTGGACTGCGATAAGCCCAGGATGTTTATTATAATCCCTAGAGAACCACCACATTATATGAAGATATTCTTCTAAAATGCCAATAAAGGAATTAAAATGGAACCCTGAATATTGTTCAGTTAATATAAAAAGGTATGAAAGAAAGAACAGAGGAGCAAAAAATGATGGAACAAATAGAACATAAGAGCAAAATAGGCTGGGTGCAGTGGCTCAGCCTGTAATCCCAGCACTTTGGGAGTCCGAGGCAGGTGGATCACGAGGTCAGGAGATCGAGACCATCCTGGCTAACACGGTGAAACCCCGTCTCTACTAAAAATACAAAAATTAGCCGGGCATGGCGGCGGGAGCCTGTAGTACCAGCTACTCCAGATGCTGAGGCAGGAAAATGACATGAACCCGGGAGGCGGAGCTTGCAGTGAGCCGAGATCCCGCCACTGCACTCCAGCCTGGGTAACAGGACCAGACTCCGTCTCAAAAAAAAAAAAAAAGAAAAGCAAAAATAGTAGGCTTAAATCCAAACTTTTCAATAATTATTTCAAATGTAATTTAAATACTCCAAATAAAACACAGATTGTCCAACTGGATAATAAAAGTACCTATAAGAGATGCATGCCAAATATTATGGTATAGATAAGTTGAGAGTGAAATAATTTCCAAGTATACCAAGGAAACAACAAACAAAAGCAATCTTATGTGGCTATATTAATATAAGAAAATGTAGACCTCCAAACAAGCAATATTACAACAGACAGCTATTTCATAATGATAAAATGTCAAGTAATTATGAAGACATAATGCTGTACTGCTGACAGAATAACTAAAGAAAATTAAGATAAAATAATTTTGACAACAGCTTGACCTAATCGATATTGACCAATACAATAGAATATATGTTCTATTATGCTACACATGAAACATTTATCAATAGGCTATAGACCACAAAATATCTCTCAAGAAGTTTCAAAACACTGTAATCATAGAAAGTATGCTTTCTGACCATAATGAAAATGAGTTGAAATGGGTAAAAACAAGCTACCCAGGAAAGTCTACACTATTGGAAGATTTAAATACATCTTAAAATGCCCTTTAGCTCAAGGAAGAAATCATAAGAAACACCTTTAAATACATTGAACTGAATACAAATAAAAATATACTATATCAAAATGTATGGGATAAAGTTAAGCAGACCCAGAGTAAATTTTTTGTATAAATGCTTATTCTAAAAAAGAGAAGTTCAAAACAAGTGAACTAATTTTCTACCTTAAGAAGAAAATCTAAAACAAGAGAGCAAATTAAGTCCAAAACAAGTAGAAGAAAAGAAATAAAACAGAAATTAGAAATCAATGAGACAGAAAACAGAAACAGGAGAAAATCATCATGACCAAAAGTTAGTTCTGTGAGAAAGAAAGAAAACATAAATTATAAATATCATGGATTAATGAGACTGTACAGTTGTAGACACAAGAGACATTAACAAGATAATGGAATATTGTGAAACATTTTATACTAATTTTCATTACTTGGATGAAAGGGTGAATTCCTTGAAAAAAACTTATAAAAAAATTCACAAGATTAAATGGAACATATGAAGTAATTGACATTTATTAAAGTAATTAAATTAATTGTTAAATACCTGCACATAAAAACATAAAACTAAAGAAATTAAAAAAAATAAGCAAACTCCACATCCAAAGAGTTTTGCTGGTGAATTCTTTCAAAGGTTTAAAAAAAATAAAATTTTTAAATTATTTCAGAAATAAAGGAGGGGGAAATTCCAAACTTTTTTTATGTGTCAGAATCCTGATAGCAAAACTACAAAACCCAGGAATGCAAAATTGATTTCAACTTAAAGAGCTATCACCATTCTAATCTGTGATTCTAATGAATTTGGCTATCTTAGATACTTTATACAAGTGGAATCATACAGTTTGTCCTTCTGTGACTGATTTACTTTACTTAGCATTAATGTCCTCTAGGTTCATCCATGTTGCATATTGCCGGGCTTTCTTGTTTTAAAGCTGAATAATATTCCGTTGTATGAATATACCACATTTTCTTTATCTATTCATCTGCCAATAGACATTAACCTCATTTCCACATTTTGATTAGTGTAAATAATGCTGCAATGAGCCTGAGAATTATCCCAATCTCTATTCTTTCAGATAAATAGCCTGAAGTGGATTGCTAGATCATATGGTAGTTCTAGTTTGTTAATTTTTTTGAGGAACCACCGTACTGTTTTCCATAGAGGCTGCACAGTTTTACTTTCCCAGAAACACTGTAGAAGTGTTCCAATTTCTCCCGATTGTTAACACTCGTTATTTTTTCTTTTAATAAGACCATTCTAACAGGTTTGAGGCAATATCTCTTTGTGGTTTTGATTTGCATTTCCCTGATGATTAGTGATGCTGAGCATTTTTTTCATGTATCTGTTGGTCATTTGGATATTTTCTTTGGAGAAATATCTATTGCTGATTTAAAAAAAAACTCTCAGCAAGCTAGAAAAGGAAATTTTCTCAAAGTGATGGAAAGCATCCACAACAAGACATATAAACATTATATTTAATGGTGAAAGCGTAAATATTTAAACTACATAGATTAGGACAAGAAAGGAATGTGTGTGTTCATCACCTCTATTCAACATTGTACTGGTGATCCTAGATTCTGAGTATAAATATTTAGGGGACATCTATTGTCACTGAAGCCCAAATCTTGGTCATCCTCAGAAAAAAAAAAAAAGTTGATTAGATTGTATATAATCTAATTCTACTTGCTAACTTAATTTCTCTAAAATTACAGCTTGCATCAACTCTAGAATTTATTGGGCACCTCCTAGGACATAAACACTGGAATTTGGTGAGAGACATCAAATAGGAAAGAACCTGGCTCTGACATAAATTCAACACACGGAGGGGGACACATGTTATGAGACTGACCTGGCCTCTCCATCTCATAAAAGGGGTTCTTGTTGCTGGTAACACAGATTAAAACTATTTCAATTACATTCAAGATAAAAAGATTAGCAATGTTATGTAAGATGAAAAAATCACCCCACAGGAAGACAAAAGTCTCACAAAAGGATATTTAAACTAGCCAACCCTTTGAAATTCAGGCAGAGATCGTGCTTTCTGGGTGAACTAAGGTAGCAAGAACAAAGTAGAGGCCCCAATTCTAGGAAAAATGGGCCCCAATAAGGTTTACAATCCAGAAACTCAAGAAATCCAGACAGAAGGATGCAGTCTCCGCTTTCAAGGCAGTAGCAGTACCTGGATTACTAAGCCAATCCCCAACACAATCATAAACACAAATTTGATTGAGGAAGAACTTGCCCACCAGAAGATTTAGGTTATTACAAGGTAGAATGTGATAGAGAAAAAGAGCATGGGACTGGAAACAAAAGGAGGTAGCCCCATGATCACAACTGGAATATATCTGTCAGAGATGGTGCGGAAATAAGACTGAAGAGAGAGATCCTTAAACCCCACGTGCCTTACATCAGGACTAATCCTGGACACAGGCTGGAAAGCATAGCCTACAGGTGGTGAGGGAGGAGGAGTGGGCTCAGCTGTGAGAAGGAGAAGGAAATATGGCTGAAAACCAGATATGGGTCTTGAAATCACACCAAGGATTTGGGCCTTTGCTGCTGTCTGCCAGCAGCTGCCAGTAGTTCTCACACTTTGGCTGGCATCAAAATAACCTGGGGCAGTGGTGGGGAAGTGGGGGGAGTGTTGTAAAACCACAAGTGACCAGGAAAAAATCACCTGTATGTTTTCCAATTCAGTAAGTACAGAAATATTAATTGGAAAAAGGTGGAGATCAGACATTGATAGTGCTGTGGACTGCTCCAGGGACATAAGCATGATCTTTAGAGAGGTGACTCTAATCAGTTGAGGGCAACCACTGGACAGAAAGAGGTCCAGACTAACCGTACACAGAGACATCATACAACTACACTTTAGCAACTTCTCCAAATAACATGTCTCTTACTGAAACTTGGGAGGTTGAAAGTTAAAAACATAAAATCCAGTGGCATTTATGTATCCTAGGCACTTACATTTGTCTGATTCTTCCAACTTGCCCTTGCTTGGTTAGAGTTTTGGGTAGATAAGAGGTGGATTTACATGTGCTAGTGTGAGAACTTTGATACACTCATTTAGACATTGACCTACTATCTTGATGTTTGAAAGTTAAAACCCAAAGAAATTTGTCTTTTTAGATAAAACAAATTCAGCCCTTACCTTCCTTATCGATTACATCTTCCACTAGCAGTAATAAAAAAGTAACAATATGCATAAGTCAAAGTATCTTCTTAAATCTTCTGTAGTGTTTTATTATTTAGTTGTGTTAATTAAAGTAACTGTCTCAAAATTTCAAGGAATGCCTGAGAATAAATTCATGTTCAAAGGCTGCCCTCTTGTGACAATGTGTTGTATGTTTTATTGTAAAAGTAATCTTATTTTACCTTATAACCTCTACAATCCAATTCATAACAGCATAAAAAGGAAATAAAACCTTACATAATTTTGAATTTTGAAAAGTACCTTGTTTATATGATTCCTTTAGCTAATGAATAGACAATTTGATAAATATTCCAGTGAGTTGAAGGTTTGAATCTATCTCACTTAACTAGCTTAATGGATGTATTTCTAAACCTGTACAACCCACTCCTCTGCTTTTAAAAAATTAAAGTTAGCTGTAGATTGAGATGTCAGTGACACAGTTTATAGAACATAACTTAGATTGTCATCTACATTACTGTAACTACAAATACCACCCTCAGATGGAAGAATCAGTTTTATCAGTGAACATCTAATTGAACTATAAATGGTGTATGTCTTCTGGCTTTTACAAGCTCTTGGTCTAACACGGGATATATGATGTAAAAATTACAAAGCAAGGCCATGCACGGTGGCTCATGCCTGTAATCCCAGCACTTTGGGAGGCCAAGGTGGGTGGATCACAAGGTCAGGAGATCGAGATCATCCTGGCCAACACGGTGAAACCCCATCTCTACTAAAAATACAAAAATTATCTGGGTGTGGTGGCACACGTCTGTAGTCCCAGCTACTCAGTAGTCTGAGGCAGGAGAATCGTTTGAACCCAGGACGCGGAGGTTGCAGTGAGCCGAGATCGCACCATTGCGCTCCAGCCTGGTGGCAGAACAAGACTCCATCTCAAAAATAAATAAATAAATAAATAAATAAATAATAAAATAACAATGACTATAATGTTTTGTGATGTTAAACTTTGAGAGCTTTTTTTTTCTTTCTTTTCCCAAGTCCCTTTCCCAGTTCCAGGAGCAGAGTTATTCTAAGCTCACTGATGCAAACGAATAGAAAGAAAAGGTTTGGTGGAAAAACTAATAACTTGCTATCCTTTCTGTCTTTTGTTTTTTAAAAGCTTGAGCATTTGGGAGAATTTGGAAAGATTGTGGAGTAAGGGCAAAGAAGGAATTTGCTAAAAAAATTATATAGGTTAAAATTAGTTTTTTCCAGGTTAGAAAATATCCACTCCCTACACTCCTACATTCCTTTCCCATGGTTAAGAAGAGGAAAAAACGAAGGCCTCTTGGTGAGCAGTGGTGACTTCGGCAGTTTCTTAGAAATATTCTAGAAGGCATAGTCATCTTTTAAAAAAAATAGCTACAAGGATATGTCTAAGCAGAAGGGACCATGGGCCAAATTACGTGTAGATTTTTGTATTCCAAATATGGTAAAGAAGAAGCAGGAAGCTGGGGGGCCTAAACAAGCCACACAGAAAAGGACAAGGAAGAGGCCAGCAGCAGCTTGTGGGGACAAGACGTCAAGCCCCAAATGTTAAACCCACCATCCATCTTCCAAATTCTGGCTCTGCTTAACAAGGCTGTGGTCTGACACTAGATGCCGCCTCAGTGACTAAAGCATAATTCCCCTTCTCCTGGGAGTGTTGACAGCTGACTCCTGTCAACAATACTCACAGCACAGTAAAGTTCCTTCATCCAAATCCATGTCCCTTCTCAAGGCATCCCACAACCGAGAACTGCTTGGTACAGAAATATAATGGCCTTGTTTGCTTGCTCCAATTTGAGGTCATTAGGTAAACTCACCAAGATCCCTGTAGAGTGCACTGCGGCCATGATAGTGACTGCATTCCAGCCGACTTCCTGCTCCACCCAATCCTATTGCTTTCGCTCTTCCACAGGTGTTGGGAATATCATTTCAACCTCCTTGCATGCAAATCTCCAACTCGGAGTCGGCTTCCTAGGACACTTGACTGGTGACATCTCTATCACTATCACAGTACTTAGAGGGGAACATCTTAAAATGATTGAGGGCTAACTGCCCTAACAGCACAGGCAGATGGTGGCTTAAAATAGAATTTAAGTGGACTTAAAAAAACATGAAAAAAGTTGACATTGCACGCTCATATGAGCTTATGGATCAAACCATACGTATGATTTTTAAGATCCCTCGTGCAGTATATATTTGCACTGTTTATAAATGACATCCCCTTAAATTGAATTCAGTGCAATTCAAAACAGTAATTTGTGGGAAAAATTAGATATGCAGATAACCTGGACTCTAGAGAGGAACACATCATTTGGAGAATAATAGTGAACCGGCTGGTCTATGAGGGAAGAAAAAACAGTGAATATAGACTATTATTGAACAAGGATATTTTCCCATGTATATTCAAATTAAGGTGAATTTTTTTACAGAATTATGCCTTAGATAGAAAAAGTATTTCCCTATATTTGAGTCCTCACAAGTTTTCCTACGATGAGTGCTTTTGTGATTATTTTGAATAACAAAATAATATTTAAGGAAACTCTCTTGCCCTGAATGTACTTTAATTTATGTCAATTGAAGTTGCATATAGAGATCATCAAAGTCAAGCTACAAGAAAAAGAGGAACATAACTTAGCAAAGACTTAGAGGATTAGTCCTAATAGTGTGAAATCAAAATTTCAAGTGAGGGAATAAATGCAGCTTTTAATGATTACTTAAATGAAGTTTAACTCTAGCAGGATCTACAAGAAATTGGCAACATTTGGCTTCAGTAACAGAATCTCAAGGTATATGCCCTTCAGTGCGTTTGCATTCTGCCTCATATTGAGAGACACTCCTTTAAACAGCAATAAGAAACTTCCTGTGACAACATAATAAATTCAAAAAGTTCTGTAACTCAGACAATTTAGATAGAAGTCATAACTTTGGCCTATAAAGCCCTGTTCACCCTAAAGATGGATTAAACAATGAAAAAGATATTGATATCAAAAATTCAATCAGGAATTTGATTAAAGCATTTCATTAAATGTGATAATTTCTTAGTATATTATCTTACATATGCAATATTCATGTGTAACAAATTAAATACAAGTAAACATTTGACCATATTATCTGCAGCATAATTTACATATCAATTTACATATTCAGTTTTGCTCACATGAAAACTTGGATCTTCTAAATAAGAAAATGTATGAAATCTTTAACTCCTCATCCCCAGGAATGTAAATAAATAAATATAAATACTGTAAGTCAGTGATTTTTTCCTAGGAAGACAGTAAAAATACTTTACACGCCTTCTCATTGTAAACCTAAATAACAAACAGAGAAAGGCTCTCTAAAGGAAAAAGACACATCTTAGGGAGGAGGGCACTGCAATGAGAATATGCATGACAAAGCAAGCTATATAGATTCAAATGGTAAAGGAAGACAAGGTCTTTAAAAGAAAAATGATCAACCTGGAAGTATGGAGGAGTAGAAAAAAAATAAATAAGGGAAAAGTGAAGAGGCTTCTATAATTGTTTTGATATAGTTACCTTTAACTATAAAGATCAACAACAAGGTCAATGTCAGTTGAAGTTTGGGCAGGCGGTTGCTGGATAGATGTCCTCACAGAAGTGTATTTTGTGTAAGGTTGCTATGGCCTTTGTGCAAGGTTGTGGTTTTTGTGGTATTTTGTAATAGTTTTTATCAGGCCTAGAAGCATGAGAACCCTCTCTTCAAGGCCTTCTCTGAATCTATTTGTTCAGGTTTTTTCTTCTCTTTTTAAACATTAGTGACAGTTTTGATTCTGATAACTTTCATATCATGATCCCTAATTTCAAAGAAAATTAAACGTGTAACTTATTTATGATGTATTTGATAGGCTTGGATTTGTGAATCACCTCTACTATCTATAGTGGTAGATATATCTGAGCCTGCTTACACAGGACTTCCATCAGATTCTCTCTTCAGTGGAATTGGAAGAGGGGGTTTTGGAGAAGGGAATGAAGGAATTGTGCTGCATCAGCACAGGGCCTTTTTCTGTGCTCTTGCCAGGCCGTCGTATTGGCTGATGCAAAAGTAATTTTGGTTTTGTCATTGAAAGTAATGAGACCATCTGACTTACAATGTCTGTGCCATAACCAGCTCCTAATAGCCTCCGAGGACAGCTTTGCCCTGACATATACTGTCCTGGAATCACGTCTGCTTTGTAACTCCTGAGGTAGCTGCCACCATGACCAATGCCTTCTCATCTTTACTCTACATGCAGGTAGCAGTTATAATTATATCTCTGTGTATTCATAGAACATTTAGTACATCTGGGACTTCTACAAAATTTCCCTAGCTGATTTTGGTGTTCTGGGGTACTGGCAGCTCTAGCCATGAAGGGATGATGCTTTATTAGCATTTCTGTTGACTTTTTTGCTTTTTCTCAAAAACTGATTCCACTTTTCCCACATACGTTTGACAATTCATTTGAACTCATTTATTCTAAACCCATTATTTTTGGTCTATTATTTAATAGGGAGGGAGGCGAGGGATAAAAGATTACAAATAGGGTGCAGTGTACACTGCTCGGGTGATGGGTGCACCCAAATCTCACAAATCTCCAGTAAAGAACTTACCCATGGAACCAAATACCACCGTACCCCAATAACCTATGGAAAAAAAATAAAAAATAAAGTAAAAAAGAGTCAGAAAGAAAGAAAATAATCACTGTACTTACCATGATACTTAGAAATGGTGACTAGCATTTTTTGTAAGTGTCACCTAATAATATTATTATTTTTTCTTTATGCTACAAACTAGCTCTGCTATTACAATCACTATTATTTGAAGTGTTACTAAATTAAATTAAATCTATTGTATCCTTCTGGACTCAGAAATGGGGGTAAATGCCAAGACGATTTCAGAATATGATCACATATTAAAAGCATATTATATGGGGAAAATTTGATTTTTAAAAAATAGAAATTGGTAGAGAAACAATTTTTGGGTCTTTAATTTCCGCACATTTTGCAAGTATGGACAATGACTTTATTGTTCCAAATGATTGTTTTCAAGCATGTTTGTATAGAAAACAGCCTTGGAATAGAAAACCAGTACCTCCTTCTGGAACAAAGGAAAAGTTTATTTACTGTCTAGTATAATGCAGATAATTTCTCCCTCTTGGGAAGCATACAGCCAAGTGAACTTCCAATAACACAAGTTGGGGTTTCTTGAGCTTGGGTTTTTCTTTCACAGTGTAATGTGCAGGTGCCACTTGGCTCTCTTTGTGTTATCCTGGGAAAGCTGATGGCTGTAGGTGCATGTGTTTATTTTGGGGTTCTCTATTCTGTTTCATTGGTCTTTGTGTCTGTTTTCATATCAGTACCATGTTATTTTGTCTACTGTGGCCTTAGGGTATAGTATGAAGTCAAGTAATGTGATGTCTCCAGCGTTGTTCTTCTTGCTTAGATTTCCTTTGGTTGTCTGGGCTCTTTAAAAATCCCTATGAAATTTAGAATATTTTTTTCTAATTTTGTGAAAAACGACACTGGTTGTTCATAGGAATAGTGTTGAATGTGTAGATTGCTTTTGGCAGTATAGCCATTTTAACAATATTGATCTTTCTAATCCATGAGCATGGAATGGTTTTCCATTTATTTCGACATCTGTGATTTCTTTCTGCAGTGTTTTGCAGTTCTCCTTTTAGATATCCTTTACCTCCTTGGTTAGACATATTCTTCTTTTATTTTATTTTGGGGGTTGCTGTTGTAAACAGGATTGCACTCTTGATTTACCTTTCAGTTTAAATATTTTTGGTGAACAGCAATGCTACTTCTTTTTATATGTTGATTTTTTTTTTATCCTGAAAGTTTGCTGAAGTTTTTTTTTATCAGTTCTGGGAGCCTTTTGGCACAGTCTTTAGGGATTTCTAGGTGTAGAATCATATCATCAGTGAAGAGAGATAATTTGACTTCATTTCCTATTTGGATGCTTTTTATCGCTTTCTCTTGCCTGCTTGCTCTGGCTAGGACTTGTTAAACAGGAGTGGGGAGAACAGGCATCCCTATTTTATTCCTGTTCATAAGGGGAATGTGTTGGGAGAAAAGCTGAGTGTTGGAAGAGAAGCTGAGGCAGGGCCATATGTTTCTCATTCACTTGATACACCATTTCCTTTTAACCCCCACATCCTCACCACCTGTTTCTTTGTTTGAGCACCAACAAATAGCGTGGGCTCCCAGAGCTTGGGGACTTTGCAGACTCCACACTCGTGATGGTCTCCTGGTCCCACTTTCTCTCTCAAACTGTCTTTTTCTCATTCCTTTGACTCTGCCGGACTTCATCACCCCCATGACCTAGTGTTGGGTCTGATCACCCCAACATGCCTGGCGCCCAACATGGGGTGACAAAGACCCGGTGAAGGAAGGCTAGAGCATATGAAAGCAGAGGACACATCATCAAAAGACACCCGAGGACATACAAAGATGGGGAGTGAAATTTAGTACTTAGAATTTGTTATCACTCTTTAGTACAGTAAAGCAGTTTTGCCCATGGTTTCCAGAGCAAAGGACTATGAAGTTGGATGAATGGGAGAGAATTGGAAGAGGTTTTTAAAAGGCATATAAAGATGGAGCAGAAATTCCAGTTTATATATGGTCAGTGTGGGCACTAATAAAGGCAGCCCTTGAGCCATTTCAAACAGATGATGAGGCAGATTCAGATGAGGAAGAGGAGGATGAGTGTAAAAAACTAACCTCAAATTCTGAGTGTGAGGAGCAGCTACCGGAGGAGATTAAAGAAAAGAAAGAAAAACTTTAAAAAGTGTGTTTTACTAGCCCGTTGGCTCCACCTGCTGAATTAAGTGAATGGCCACCTCCTCTCTCTCCCCTAAATGGGTGAGAAAATAAATTAGCTGAAAAACTTACTGCTCCTGTAGTTACAACATTAAAACCTGGAGCAATTGGTGGTGCTAGACAAAATTCTATTCAAAAAGCTAAAGCCAAGGGAGACCTTGAAGCATGGCAATTTCCTGTTACTATAATCCAGCAAGTAGGACAGAATATAGCTAATTAACCTGCTTTTTCTTTTAAGTTACTAAAGAATTTAAGCAAGTCATTAGTCAATATGGACTGAACTCTCTTTTTGCGCAATCTTTATTAAAAATATGGCTCTTGATAATAGATTAATACCATATAATTAGGATACTTTGACAAAACCTGTTCTCACTCCATCTCAGTACTTGTAGTTTAAAACTTGGTAGGCTGATGAACTCAAACTCAGGCAAAAGAAAACACACACCTGCAGCCACCTGTGCCTGTTTTCTTTGATCAGTTAATATGAGTTGGCCCTAACTGGGGTTGATTAGAGAATCAAGCAGTAATGGAAGATGTTGCCATTGTTCAGCTGTGCTTCATGTGCTTACATGCATAGAAAAGGATAAATGTTACAGGGGAAAAGTATCCTTATTTCAGTTCTGTCTGACAAGGACCTAAAGAACCATATATTAATTTTATTGCTCAGCTCCAAGAGGCTGTGTATAAAGCCATAAATGATCAAAACAGCTCAGGATGTTGTAATACAGCTTCTTGCATACAATAATGCTAATGCAGAGTGTCAAACTGCTATTAGATATCTGAGAAGGCTCATTTAACTAAATATATTAAGTCTTGCGATGGCATTGGAGGTAACTTACATAAGGCTATTCTTTTAGCTCAGGCTATGGCTAGATTAAGAGTAAGAAAAAATATGTTTCACTTCTCAGGCTCTTGCCTTAATTGTGGGCAAATTGGACACAAGAAAGGAATGTAGAAAGGAATTCAAAAGACGAAAACTACTACCATCAATCAACAGAAAAGACCCAGTGTATGTCCCTGGTGTAAGAAAGGCAATCACTAGGCAAGTCCGTGTCATTCTAAATTTAGCAAAGATGAACAACCTCTTTGAGGAAATAGGAAGAGGGACCCACCTCAAGCCCCTCAACAAACTGAGGCATACCCAGCACAGCCACTGCCCTTACAAATGTACAGCAATTGTCCCCCGCCTCAGCAAGCAGTGCTGCTGTAGACCTCTACAGCACAATTCCCATCTCCTTACTTCCTGAGGAGCCACGAAAGAAGGTCCCCACAGGAGTTAGGGCACCCTTACCCTGAGGAACTGTTGGGAACAAGCTCCCCCCAAATCCGGCCATAAACTGGCCCCAAAACTGGCCATAAACAAAATCTCTGCAGCACTGTGTCATGTTCTTGATGGCCATAACACCCACCCTGGAAGGTTGTGGGTTTACCGGAATGAGGACAAGGAACACCTGGCCCGTCCAGGGTGGAAAACCACTTAAAGGCATTCTTAAGCCACAAACAATAGTATGAGTGATCTGTGCCTTAAGAATATGGGATACTTTTAGTTAATCTAATATCTATAGAAACAATGCTAATGACTGGCTTGCTGTTAATAAATACGTGGGTAAATCTCTGTTCAGGGCTCTCAGCTCTGAAGGCTGTGAGACCCCTGATTTCCCACTTCACACCTCTATATTTCAGTGTGTGTGTCTTTAATTCCTCTAGTGCTGCTGGGTTAGGGTCTCCCCAACCGACCTGGTCTCAGCAAGTGGTGCCCATTCATGGGGGCTCGAATACAGGTCAAAGGATCGCTGGAGCAACGATTGGAGAATGTGGAACTAGCTGGAGGACATCCGAGTACTCTTAAAGCAATCCCCGTGGTGAGTCAGAAGGGGAGCTCAGAAGCATCAGGGTAACAATGGGACAAGTGTGGGCTGTGGTTCGTTCTACTTTGGAATTTTTTCACACTGATAATGAGGAGGAAGGAGAGTATAACAAAGTAACAGTAGAGGTTACAGACCAGGTTTATTTGCCACCTAAAGCTAAAGCAGAAAAGGAGGGAGAGGTTCATCCCTACCCTTCTGCACCCCCTCATTATTATTTTGAAGAAAACGACCCTCTAGATCTTTCTTTTCTGGAGGACACTAGGTGAAAAATAGTTGCCCTGGTGACTTGAGCGACTGCTTAGTTCTATTCAGGCAGGAATTCAGCAAGCTAGACAAAAGTGGGATTTAGAGGCTTGGCAGTTCCCTGTTTGAATACACCCCCCAGATCAACAGGGAAATATTATAGCTACATTTGAGCCTTTTCCTTTTAAATTACTCAAAAAAAAATTAAACAAGCTATAAATCAGTATGGACCAGGTTCTCCTTTTGAAATGGGACTGTTAAAGAATGTTGCTGTTTCCAGTCGGATGATTCCTACTGACTGGGACACTCTTACTCTAGCTTGTCTAACTCCTGCTCAGTTCTTACAATTTAAAACTTAGTGGGCAGATGAAGCTTCCATTCAGGCTGCTCTCAATGCCTGGGCCCAACCTCAAATTAATATAACTGCAGACCAACTTTTGGGGGTTGGTGGCTGGGCTGGTTTACATGCACAAGTGGTCAAGCAGGATGATGCCATAGAACAGCTTAGAGGAGTATGCATTAGAGCTTGGAAAAAATCACTTCATATGGAGAACAATACCCTTCATTTAGTGCTATAAAACAGGGACCAAGAGAACCATATGTGCATTTTATAGCTTGGTTACAGGAGTCTCTTAAAAAGATGATTGCAGATTTGGCTGCTTAGGATATAGTGTTGCAGTTATTAGTTTTGACAATGCTAATCCCTATTGCCAGACTGCTCTGTGACCTATCAGAGGGAAAGCACATTTAGTTGATTATAACAAGGCCTGTGATGATATCAGAGATAATCTACATAAAGCTACTTTGTTGGCACAGGCGATGGCAGGACTGAGAGTGGATAAAGGAAATACTCTATTTCCTGGCGCTTGTTTTAACTGTGGGAAGCATGGTCATACTAAAAAGAATGTAAAAAAAAATCAGCAAGTCAGGCCACCAGATAGGTGAAAAAAGAAAACTGCGGATCCTGAAATATGTCTAAAATGTAAAAAAGGAAAACTTTGGGCTAATCAGTGTCACTCTAAGTTTGATAAAGAAGGGAACCCGATTTTGGGAAACTCCCTGATGGGCCCATCCCAGGCCCTGTTCTAAACAAGGGCATTTCCAGCTCAGGCCATTCCCTCACCCCCATACATTATCTGTCCCCCACCATAGCCCATAGTGTCGCAGTAGATTTATGCTGCACAAAAGCTGTGAGCCTTCTGCCTGGGGAACCCCCGCAAAAGGTCCCAACAGGAGTCTGTGGACCGTTGCCAGGAGGGACAATGGGATTACTTTTAGGAAGGTCTAGTTTAAGTTTAAAAGGGGTACAAATACACACTGGAGTCATTGATTCAGATTACAATGAAGAAATTCAAATTGTGATATCTACTTCTGTTCCCTGGAAAGCACAGCCAGGAGTGCGCATAGCACAGCTCCTGAGTGTGCCGCATGTGGGAATGGGAAAAAGTGAAATTAAATGAACTGGAGGATTTGGAAGCACAAATAAAAAAGGCAAGGCAGCTTATTGGGTAAATCAAATTACTGATAAACATCCTATCTGTGAAATAACTATCCAGGGAAAGAACTTTAAAGGTTTGGTAGATACTATTTTTTTTTTTTTAGTAGGAGTGGACATTTCAATCATTTCTCTACAGCACTGGTTGTCCATGTGGCCAATTCAGCCCACTCAATTTAACACAGTGGAAACTGCTAAAGCTCCAGAAGTGTATCAAAGTAGCTATATTTTACATTGTGAAGGGCCCGATGGACAACCTGGGACTGTTCAACCAATTGCAATTTCTGTACCTATAAATTTATGGGGGAGAGATTTATTATGACGATGGGGAGCACAAGTTCTAATTCCATAACAATTATACAGCCCTCAAAGTCAACATATGATGCACGAAATGGGGCATGTCCCTGGTATAGGAGTAGAAAAAAATTGCAAGGTTTGAAAGAACTGCTTCAAACGGAAAGACAAAGTTCCTGCCAAAGATTAGGATACCATTTTTGATGGTGGCCACTGTTAAGCCTCCAAAACCTATACCTTTAAAATGGTTAACAGATAAGCCAATTTGGATAGAATAATGGCTGCTAGGCAAAGAGAAACTGGATGCTTTAGAGAAATTAGTTACTGAACAATTAGAAAATGGGCACATAGCTCCAACATTTTCCCCTTGGAATTCTCCAGTGTTCATAATTAAGAAAAAATCAGGTAAATGGAGAATGTTAACTGACTTAAGAGCCATCAATTCAGTTATACAACCTATGGAAACATAACAGCCAGGATTGCCTTCTCCTACTATAATTCCAAAAAATTGGCCTTTAATAGTCACAGATTTAAAAGACTGTTTCTTTACTACCCTTTTAGCTGAGCAAGACTGTGAACGGTTTGCATTTACAATTCCTGCAGTAAACAACCTGCAGCCTGCTAAGCGTTTTCGTTGTTTCACAGATGGGTCTAGTAATGGTAAAGCTTCTTATTCTGGATCAAAAGGTAAAGTTTTCCAGACACCCTATACTTCAGCTCAAAAAGCGGAGCTTGTATCTGTAATTGAGGTATTGACTGCTTTTGATATGCCTGTTAATGTGATTTCTGATTCTTCATACATAGTTCATTCCACACAGTGAATTGAAAATGCTCAGTTACGATTGCATACAGATGAACAACTGATAATAAAAACAAAAAAAAGGGGGAGAAACAGGGATTATGGGATAGCCCATACACAATTGAATCTAACATTATTAACTTTCAAATTTTTGAGCCTGCCCAAAGGCCAGATGTTACCAGCAGCTGAACAGCATCTACAGAAACCAGCTGCAAAGACAGAAGCAGAACAACTGGTTTGGTAGAGAGATCCAATAACAAAAAGTTGGGAAATAGGTAAAATTATAACTTGGCATAGAGATTATGCTTGTGTTCCTCCAGGACCGAATCAACAACTGATTTAGATACCATCAAGACACCTGAAATTTTATCATGAGTCAGATGCTGAGGAAGAGATAAAAAGCACAATCATCATTGAAATTAGAGCTTCTGGCTGGGCGCGGTGGCTCACGACTGTAATCCCAGCACTCTGGGAGGCTGAGGTGGGCAGTTCACAAGGTCAGGAGATCGAGACCATCCTGGCTAACACGGTGAAACCCCATCTCTACTAAAAATACAAAAAATTAGCTGGGTGAGGTGGCGGGCGCCTATAGTCTCAGCTACTCAGGAGGCTGAGGCAGGAGAATGGCATCAACCCGGGAGGCAAAACTTCAGGTTTTGCCAAGAATGACACTGTAAATATAACAAAGCTTCTGTGCTTGTTAGTGAACACCAAATCAGCTACTCTCCTGTATTCGGAGATCAGGATGAAATGAAAAGAACAAGCAGGCCGGGTGCGGTGGCTCATGCTTGTAATGTCAATACTTTGGGAGGCTTAGGTGTGTGGATCACCCGAGGTTGGGAGTTTGAGACCAGCCTGACCAACATGGAGAAACCCCGTCTCTACTAAAAATGCAAAATGTGCTGGGCATGGTGGCACAAGCCTGTAATCTCAGCTTTGGAGGCTGAGGCAGGATAAGTGCTTAAACCTGAGAGGCGGAGGTTGCTGTGAGGCAATATTGCACCATTGCACTCCAGCCTGGGCAACAAGAGTGAAACTCCATCTCAAAAAAATAAAAAATATAAAAAGACCCCCAACCTTGTCTAGACTGTGGGGTTTCAGTTTCACCCCAGGAGGGTCCTGGTTTGGTTAGAATCCTGAATCTGGTTTGAGTTCAAACCCTAAAGAATAAAGGGAATAAAGGCTGTAGGTACTGAGCTACTCAATCTGGTCTGGTTCTGGCTTTTGTGTGTCTATCTGTATTTTTGGTCTAAATATTTGGCCCAACAGAGGTTAAAGGCTTTGATGTTCTCAGCAAAAGCCTTGTGAGATTTCTAGTTTATCTGTGTGCTCAACTGGAACAAAGAGACTCCATAAACTAGAAAAACCTAAAGAAAATGGCACACGTGAAAAATTGAGAGCCAACTCTTGTTTGTTGTTCTGTCCACCTCCCTCTCTCACTCCTCCTTCTGCCTTTGCTGTGGTCCCATGGTGTTTCTGTCTTTCTGGGGACCTGAGATTCAGTGTAGGAGTGAAGTCCATTATTTTAAAGCCTTCATGTCTCTGCTTTTTAATTCTGCCTGCTTTGCTGAGCTCTTATAATGAGAAATAAACGATTCAGAACAGAAACAACAGGGCATCAGAAAACCAACTTCAGGCAGCGCTCTGGCAAGTACCTCCCTAGAGGGCAAGGGCTTACTAAAGGAGATTTAATCTTGAAAAGGCCAAAATGAGAAGCTCTAACCTTAAGCTTGCTAGGTTTTCTGGGACTCGACCTGGTTATATATTATGGACCATACTAGCCACACAAACACACACACACACACACACTTTTTTGAGACAGAGTCTTGCTCTGTTGCCCACGCTGGAGTGCAGTGGTGCGCTCTTGGCTCACTGCAACCTCCACTTCCCAGGTTCGAGCAATTCTCCTGTCTCAGCCTCCTGAGTAGCTGCGATTACAGGTGTATGCCACCATACCCGGCTAATTTTTGTGGTTTTAGTAGAGATGAGGTTTCACTATGTTGACCAGGCTGGTCTCAAACTCCTGATCTCAAGTGATCCACCCACCTTGGCCTCCCAAACTGCTGGGATTACAGGCATGAGCCACTGTGTCCAGCCTATATATATATATATGTATATATATGTGTGTATATATATATATATATGTATATATATGTATGTGTATATATATATGTATATATATATGTATATATATATGTATATATATGTGTATATATATGTATATATATATGTATATATGTATATATATACATATATATATACACACACATATATATATATATACATATATATATTTGTATTTATATATTTATATTTATATTTATATATTTTTTCTTTTTCTTTTTGGCACAGAGTCTTGCTCTGTTGCCCAGGATGGAGTATGGTGGTACAATCGCGGCTCACTACAACCTCCACCTCCCAGGTTTGAGCGATTATCCTGCCTCAGCCTCCTGAATAGCTAGGACTACAGGTGCACACCACCACACCCAGTTAATTTTTGTATTTTCAGTAGAGATGGGGTTTTGTCACGTTGGCCAGGCTGGTCTCAAACTCCTGGCCTCAAGTGATCCACCTGCCTCAGCCTCCCATATTGTTGGGATTAAATGAATGAGCCACTGCACCTGGTCTCTAGTGCACACTTTAAACCTGACGGCCAAATTACATGAAAGAAAATTCAAAACTCAAATAGTTACTATTTTAAAAAACCCTAAAATGAAAAAGTCTCAGTTCTTTTGCCTATCTTTTTTTTTCCCTGCCTACTTTGAATCTGCTGATTTGCCTACTGGTGTTGAGATAAGACTTACTGTCTGTGGTGTTACCAATTCAAGGTTACTTGGCTGAAGAAAAACAAAAGAATGAAACCATTTTTTATTTTTTTCTCTTTTTGAGACAAGGTCTTACTCTACGGTCTTACTCTGTTCCCCAGACTGGAGTGCAGTAGTGGGATCATAGCTCACTGTTATCTCAACCTCCCAGGCTCAAGCAATCCTCCTGCCTCATCCTCTCTAGTAGCTGGGACAATAGGCATGCACCACCATGCCTGGCAATTTTTTATCTTATTCTTAGTAGAGATTGGATCTCACTATGTTGTCCAGGCTGGTCTCAAACTCCTGGGCTCAAGTGATCCTCTTGCCTCAGCCTCTCAAAGTGCTGGGATACAGGCATGAACCACTGTGCCCAGACAAAAGAGTTCTTTTATAAATACAAATAATTTAAAAAGTATTGATAAAATAAAAATAGAAATGTCTTCAGAATTGTCAGCATACATTTTTGACTGTGTTTTATATTTACATTTGCTAGATATTTTAAGGTGCTAGGGTTTGGCATGAAGGTTATAAAGCTATAAACACAGGGAAAAAAAGAATATTTGTTTATGTGATTTTTTAAATACATAAGACCAATTTAATACGGTTTGTTGAACAAAAATAATGTAATTTTCTGAGTTATTGGTAAAATACCCTTGTATTTAACTTTGAAATCCTCACTTATGTGAACACCTGATATTCACAGGCTATAACATGGTTAAAAAGAAAATAACCTAGAAATGATGACTAGCTTTGTCTAATACCTCAGTTCTCACAAATACTCTAGATAAACTGTCAAAAATAAGTAAATGTAAATGGATAAATGTCTATACAAGACATTTTAATGTATTTTTGAAATTTTTTTGAGCCAATGTCTCTGCCTGTCACCCAGGCTGAAGTGCAGTGGCATGATCACAGCTCGTTGCAACCTTGACCTCCTGCACTCAAGGGATCCTCCCACCTCAACCTCCCAAGAAGCTGTTAATTACAGGCATGCAACACCATGGTCAGCTAACTTTTATTTTTTTTGTAGAGTCAGCATCTCGCTATTTTGCTCAGGCTGGTCTCACGATACTCCTGCCTTGGCCTCCTAAAGTGTTGGGATTACAGGTGTGAGCCACCATGCCCAGCCTATTTTTGAAATTTTAGTTATGTTAAATTAAATAATAGATACTCATTAAATATCTGGGTTATTTCCAATTTAAAACTTAAGTTTTAGCCCGGGCACTGTGGCTCACGCCTGTAATCCCAACACTTTGGAAGGCCAAGGCAGGTGGCTCACCCGAGGTCAGGAGCTCAAGACCAGCCTGATCAACATGGTGAAACCCCATCTGTACTAAAAAATACAAAAAATTAGCCAGGTGTGGTTGTGGGTTCCTGTAATCCCAGCTACTCGAGAGGCTGAGGCAGGAGAATTGATTGAACCTGGGGGGCGGAGGTTGCAGTGAGCTGAGATCACACCATTGCACTCCAGCCTGGGCAACAAGAGTGAAAATCCACCTTAAAAAATATGTTTTAGGAATACATAATTCTAAATTATGAAATCATTCTCATATGTAAGATACTGCTATATGACAATTCAAGATTTCTTTCTTCCTAAGTTTTTTATTAAAATAAGGGTTACTAAGTGTTAATATCTTGGTAGATATATGTGATTAAGACTATTAGATACAAGAGAAACAATTCTGTATGCAAAATGTATACGGGTTTTTGTTTCAGAGAAAGTAAATTCGCTTAGAGATTTTTAAGGATTATTTTAAATTGAAGGAATAAAAAAGATAGATAAAATTAAATGTGTATAAAAAGTTGGGAAAGATGGAAAAAATTATACAAGGTTATTAAAAGTTTATGTAAATGTTACCTCGAGGTCAAAACTGATTGAGATCAGATAGATTGTTTATAAAGTTTATTTAAATTAGCTGTAATATTAAAAACATAGTGATAAAAAGCAAAAAAATTTGGTTAAAACAACAAGGTTTTCTTAATGTATTTATTTGCTCATAATAAGAGGTAATAAATATTGACTTTTAATCCTGATATCTGTTACTATAAAATTTTTTCAGATTTGTATATCAGAAGTTCAACGTTTCCTGTACTTTCATGTTACACATGACTCACAGATCACATCACTGTCTTCTGTTTCTTCTTGAGAAGGAATAAAAGGCTTGGGTTTCCTTCTTGGCTGGGATGATAACTCCTTCAGCTTTTTCATCAGGTCTAATTTTGTACTCTTGGCTTTTAAATATGTCTTAATTACTTCATGTAACCAGGAAACTTCCATGCTATCATTGTGAGCTATGGATCCCCACTTCTCTATGCTCTGGTTTTCCTGTTTACATTCCTCTGTAATATTATGCTCACTCATGACCCTGGACACACTCTTTCTATGTCTAATTAAATTCAAGTCTCCTTGTCATCGGTTTGACTTCCAAGTGATTTAAATTAGCTTCCCATAAGAAGAGACAATTATGCCACAGGAGCTTTTACCCTTTAAATGACTGGCCTGTAATAAAGATTTTAGGTTTTATCAAGATAATCCATGTGTTGCCTTTATTTTTTTTTTAATTACTTGGGAAAACTGAGGGTTTTCAGTTTTCACATCCATGTAACCTTCTATGTTGCTTTTGATGTCTTTTGGTTGTCATGCTAATTAAATGAATGTTATTTAAAAATGACATGTGGCTGTGTGCAGCGGCTCTTGTCTGTAATTCCAGCCCTTTGGGAGGCCAAGGTGGGTGGATCACTTGAGCCCAGGAGTTCAAGTCCAGCCTGGGCAAAATGGCAAAACCCCATCTCTACTAAAAATACAAAAGCTAGCTAGGTGTGGTAGCACATGCTCATAGTCCTGGCTACTTGGGAAACTAAGGTGGAGAATCACCTGAGCCTGGGAAGTTGAGGCTGCAGTGAGCCATGATTTCACCACTGCACTCCAGCCTGGGCAACAGGGTGAGACCCTGTCTCAAAAAAGTAATAAAATAAAAAACAATAAACTGCCATTCCGTTTAGGTCAAATGTTTTCAATTTTTTGACATCTTTGCTAAAACTTAGTTGGTAACATTGTATGGGAAGCATTGCCAAAAGATAAGTAACACTAAATCTTCTTTTTTTTTCTCTGAGACAGAATCTTGCTTTGTCACCCAGGCTGGAGTGCTGTGGCATGATCTAGGTTCACTGCAAATTCTGCCCCAAGGTTCAAGCAATTCTTCTGCCTCAACCTCCCAAGTAGCTGGGACTACAGACACGTGCCACCATGCCCGGCTAATTTTGTATTTTTAGTAGAGACAAGATTTCTCCATGTTGGCCAGGCAGATGTCGAACTCCTGACCTCTGATGATCTGTCCAACTTGGCCTCCCAAAGTGTTGGGATTACAGGCATGAGCCACTGTGCCCAGCTTAAATCTTCTTTTGGTTACTTTTATAGGTATGTTATTAATATAAATATTTTAAACGTTATATAAATTATAAAAATCTAATAGGGTTTCAGTCATAATTTTGATGATGTTAAATATTTTCTAAAGTTGTATGTGTATAGATATATTATTAATATAAATATTCTAAAGATTATATAAAATTTGTGGAAGTCTGATGGATCTGATGCATTGCCATCAGTCATGATTCTGGCTTAAAATGCTACATATAATACAAATAACTAAATTTTCTCGAGATTTGAGAACTTCCACTGGATTTTAACCAAAGGCTATTCTAAGTTTTTGTCATCCACGGTGATTGATTAAAGTTCTTCTCTAAAACCCTTTAAAGGCCGGGCATGGTGCTGGAGGCCATGCAGGGCACGGTGCTGGGCATGGTGCAGGGCATGGTGGCTCATGCGTGTAAATATCCCAGCACTTTGCAAGGCCGAGGTGGGTGAATTGCTTAAACTAAGAAGTTTGAAAGCAGCCTAGGCAACATGGTAAAATCCTGTCTCTACAAAAATACAAAAATTAGCCAGGCATGATGGTGCATGCCTATGGTCCCAGCTACTTCAGAGGGTGAGGTAGGAGGATGGCTTGAGTTTGGGAGGGAGAGATTGCAGTGAACCAAGATCATGCCACTGCACTCCATCCTGAGTGATAGAGCCAGACCGTGTCTCAAAAAAAAAAAAAAAAGCCTTTACAATCAGCTATCATCTAAATTACTTTTAATGGAAAGGATTCTGACAAGTTCTCTTAAATATGGTTTCAGATAACTTTGGGGATCATACCATTGGACTAGGAAAATCTTCCAGGACTCTAAAAAGCTGAATGAGAATTTCTAATTGAAATCAAGCAAAACACAAAAAACTGAATGAGAATTGCTATTTGAAATCAAGCAGAACAAGATTTAGTTACATGGGACTGAACTTATAAAAGAAGGAAAAGATTTTATCCATGGCCCTTCCATTAGAAACATTGTTGATCCTCTTTATGTTTTGTTTTCCAAAGTCAAGAATTTTTTTTCTTTTCAGCTATTTTTAACTTACAATACATTAGTTAAACTACATTGTGAACAAAAATTTGAGCCATTTATCTGTCTCTCTAGCTGATTTCTCCAAAATTCAGAAGCCATTCGTGAGCATTCTTAAATTATGGCAATATAATTATTTACATAATTTCAATAAGAATCTGTTTTTGGAAACAAGATTCAATTGGAGACACTGTTTGTTTTATCAAGGCTTTAACTCGAATGGCAGATACAACCAGACCACTTTAAGGAATTGAGGTTGACTTTATAGCACCAATACAAAGCCCCTTAGAATGACTGGCTTGATGTCCTGTCTACAAAGGTCCTTTACAAAGTTGCTATCCTTGTGGTAAGAAGTAAAGAATGTCACTTTCTGAAGGGCCCAGGAACCTCAAGATATTTGGGGACCTTGAGAAGAGAGGACTACACCCATTCATTAAAGTATTACAGGAGATCTGGCAAGATTTCTGAATAGGAACAGCTCCGGCCTGCAGCACCCAGTGAGATCAACACAGAAGTCAGGTGGTTCATGCATTTCCAACTGAGCCTCCACTGGTGATACCCAGGCAAACAGGGTCTGGAGTGGACCTCCAGCAAACTCGAGAAAACCTGCAGCAGAGGGACCTGACTGTTAGAAGGAAAACTAACAAACAGAAAGGAATAGTATCGACATCACCAACATCAAAGACCAAAGGTAAATAAATCCACAAAGATGGGGAGAAACCAGTGCAAAAATGCTGAAAACTCCAAAAGTCAGAATGCCTCTTCTCCTCCAGAAGATCACAACTCCCCGCCAGCAAGGGAACAAAACTGGACAGACAATGAGTTTGACGAATTGACAGAAGTAGGCTTCGGAAGGTGGGTAATAACAAACTCCTCCGAGCTAAAGGAGCATGTTCTAACCCAATGCAAGGAAGCTAAGAGTCTGAAAAATAAAGGTTAGATGAATTGTTAACTAGAATAACCAGTTTAGAGAAGAATATAAATGACCTGATGGAGCTGAAAAACCCAGCACAAGAACTTCATGAAGCATACACAAGTATCAATAGTTGACTCAATCAATCAGGAGAAAGGATATCAGAGATTGAAGATCAACTCAATGAAATAAAGCAAGAAGGCAAGATTAGAGAAAAAAGAGTGAAAAGAAATGAACAAAGCCTCCAAGAAATAGAGGTCTATGTTAAAAGACTGAATCTACGTTTGATTGGTGTACCTGAAAGTGACAGAAAGAATGGAACCAAGTTGGAAAAAACTCTTAAGGATATTATCCAGGAGAACTTCCCCAACCTAGCAAGACAGGCCAACATTCAAATTCAGGAAATACAGAGAACACCACTAAGATACTCCTCAAGAAGAGCAACCCCAAGACACAAAATCATCAGATTCACCAAGGTTGAAATGAAGGAAAAAATATTAAGGGCATCCAGAGAGAAAGGTTGAGTTACCCACAAAGGGAAGCCCATCAGACTAACAGTGGATCTCTTGGCAGAAAACCTACAAGCCAGAAGAGACTGGGGGCCAATACACAACATTCCTAAAGAAAAGAATTTTCAAGCCAGAATTTCATATCCAGCCAAACTAAGCTTCATAATTGAAGGAGAAATAAAATCCTTTACAAGCAAATGCTGAGAGATATTGTCACCACCAGGCCTGCCTTACAAGAGCTCCTGAAGGAAGCACTAAACACGGAAAGGAACTACTGGTAACAGCCACTGCAAAAACATACCAAATTATAAAGACTATTGACACGATGAAAAAACTGCATCAACTAATGAGCAAAATAACCAGCTAGTATCATAATGACAGGATCAAATTCACACATAACAATATTAACCTTAAATGTAAATGAGCTAAATGTCCCCAGTTGACACAGTCTGGCAAATTGGATAAAGAGTCAAGACCCATCAATGTGTTGTATTCAGGAGACCCATCTCATACACATAGGCTCAAAATAAAGGGATGAATAAACATTTACCAAGCAAGTGGAAAGCAACAAAAGGCAGGGGTTGCAATCCTAGTTTCTGATAAAACAGATCTTAAGCCAACAAAGATAAAAAGAGACAAAGAAGGGCATTACATAATGGTAAAGGGATCAATGCAACAAGAAGAGCTAACTATCCTAGACATATATGCACCCAATACAGGAGCACTCAGATTCATAAAGCAAGTTCTTAAAGACCTACAAAGAGACTTAGGCTCCCACACAATAATAGTGGGAGACTTTAACACTCCACTGTCAATATTAGATCGATGAGACAGAAAATTAACAAGAATATCCAGGACTTGAACTCAGTTCTGGACCAAGTGGACCTAAAAGATATCTACAGAACTCTCCACCCCAAATCAACAGAATGTACATTCTTCTCAGCACCGCATTGTACTTATTCTAAAATTGACCACATAATTGGAAGTAAAACACTCCTCAGGAAATGCAAAAGAATGGAAATCATAACAAACAGTCTCTCAGACCACAATGTATTCAAATTAGTATGCAGGATTAAGAAACTCACTCAAAACCTCACAACTACATGGAAACTGGGCAACCTGCTCCTGAATGACTACTGGGTAAATAACGAAATGAAGGCAGAAATAAAGATGTTCTTCAAAACCAATGAGAACAAAGACACAACGTACCAGAATCTCTGGGACACATTTAAAGCAGTGTGTAGAGGGAAATTTATAGCACTAAATGCCCACAAGAGAAAGCAGGAAAGATCTAAAATTGACACCTTAACATCAAAATTAAAAGAACTAGAGAAGAAAGAACAAACAAATTCAAAAGCTAGGAGATGACAAGACATAAATAAGATCAGAGCAGAATTGAACGAGATAGAGACATGAAAAACCCTTCAAAAAATCAATGAATCCAGGAGCTGGTTTTTTGAAAAGATCAACAAAACAGACCACTAGCCAGACTAATAAAGAAGAAAAGACAGAAGAATCAAATAGATGCAATAAAAAATGATTAAGGGGATATCACCACTGATCCCACAGAAATACAAATTATCATCAGAGAATACTACCAAGACTAAACATGGAAGAAGTCAAATTCCTGAATAGACCAATAACAAGTTCTGAAATTGAGGCATTAATCTATAGCCTACCAACCAAAAAAAGTCCAGGACCAGACGGATTCACAGCCAAATTCTACCAGAGGTACAAAGAGGAGCTGGTACCATTCCTTCTGAAACTATTCCAAACAATAGAAAAAGAGAATCCTCCCTAACTCATTTTATGAGGCCAACACAACCAAAAAAAGGAAATTTTAGGCCAATATCCCTGATGAACATCAATGCAGAAATCCTGAATAAAATACTGGAAAATTGAATCCAGCAGCATATCAAAAAGCTTGTCCACCATGACCAAGTTGGCTTCATCCCTGGGATGCAAGGCTGGTTCAACATGCAAATCAATAAATGTAATCCATCACATAAACGGAATCAATGACAAAAACTACATGATTATCTCAATAGATGCAGAAAAGGCCTTTGACAAAATTCAACAGCCCTTCATGCTAAAAACTCTCAATAAACTGGTATTGATGGAACGTATCTCAAAATATTAAGTGCTATTTATGGCAAACCCACAGCCAATAACATACTGAATGTGCAAAAACTGGAAGCATTCCCTTTGAAAATCAGCACAAGACAAGGATGCCCTCTCTCACTACTCCTATTCCACATAGTGTTGGAAGTTCTGGCCAGGGTAATCAGGCAAGAGAAAGAAATACATGGTGTTCAATTAGGAAAAGAAGAAGTCAAATTGTCTCTGTTTGCAGATGACATGATTATATATTTAGAAAACCCCATCGTCTCAGCCCAAAATCTCCTTAAGCTGATAAGCAACTTCAGCAAAGTTTTAGGATAAAAAATTAATGTGCAAAAATCACAAGCTTTCTTATACACCAATAACAGACAAACAGAGAGCCAAACTATGAGTGAACTCCCATTCTCCATTGCTACAACAAGAATGAAATACCTAGGAATACAACTTACAAGGATGTGAAGGACCTCTTCAAGGAGAACTATAAACCACTCCTCAAGGAAACAAGAGAGGACAAAAACAAATGGAAAAACATTCCATGCTCATCAATAGGAAGAATCAATATCGTGAAAATGGCCATACTACCCAAAGTAATTTATAGATTCACTGCTATCCCCATTAAACTCTATTGACTTTCTCCACAGAATTGGAAAAATATATTTTAAATTTCATACGGAATCAAAAAGAGCCCGAATAGCCAAGACAATCCTAAGCAAAAAGAACAAAGCTTCAAGCATCATGCTACCTGACTTCAAACTATACTACAAGGCTACGATAAACAAAAGAACATGGTACTGGTACCAAAACAGATATATAGATCAAAGGAACAGAACCGAACCCTCAGAAATAACACCACATATCTACAACCATCTGATCTTTGACAAACCTGAGAAAAACAAGCACTGGGGAAAGGATTCCCTATTTAATAAATGGTGTTGAGAAAACTGGCTAGCCTTAGGCAGAAAGCTGAAACTGGATCCCTTCCTTACACCTTATATAAAAATTAACTCAAGATGAATTAAAGATTTAAATCTAATACCTAAAGCCGTAAAAACCCTAGAGGAAAACCTAGGCAATACCATTCAGGACATAGGCATGGGCAAAGACTTCATGACTAAAACACGAAAAACAATGGCAACAAAAACCAAAATTGAAAAATGGGACCTAATTAAACTAAAGAGTTTCTGGACAGCAAAAGAAACTATGAGAGTGAAAGGGCAACCTACGAAATGGGAGAAAATTTTTGCAATCTATCCATCTGACAAAGGCCTAATATCCAGAATCTACAAAGAACTTAAACAAATTTACAAGAAAGAACAATCCCATCAAAAAGTGGGCAAAGGATGTGAACAGACACTTCTTAAAAGAGGACAATTATGCAACCAACAAACATATGAAAAAAAGCTCATCATCACTAGTCATTAGAGAAATGCAAATCAAAACCACAATGAGATGCCATCTCATGCCAGTTAGAATGGCAATCATTAAAAAGTCAGGAAACAAAAGATACTGGAGAGGATGCGGAGAAATAGGATTGCTTTTACACTGTTGGTGGGAGTGTAAATTAGTTCAACCATTGTGGAAGACAGTGTGGCTATTCCTCAAGGATCTAGAACTAGAAATGCCATTTGGCCCAGCAATCCCATTACTGGGTATATACCCAAAGGATTATAAATCATTCTACCATAAAGACACATGCACACGTATGTTTATTGCAGGACTGTTCACAATAACAAAGACTTGGAATCAACCCAAATGCCCATCAATTATAGACTGGATAAAGAAAATGTGGCACATATACACCATGGAATACTATGCAGCCATAAAAAAGGATGAGTTCATGTCCTTTGTAGGGACATGGATGAAGCTGGAAACCGTCATTCTCAGCAAACTAACACAAGAATAGAAAACAAAACACCACATGTTCTCACTCATAAGTGGGAGTTGAACAACGAGAACACAAGGACACAGGGAGGGGAACATCACACACTGGGGCGTGTTGGGGGTTGGGGGCGGAGGGAGGGATAGCATTAGGACAAATACCTAATATAGGTGATGGGTTGATGGGTGCAGCAAACCACCACAGCACATGTATACCTATGTAACAAACCTCAGCATTCTGCACGTGTACCCCACAACTTAAACTATAATAAAAAAGTAGGTTAAAAAAAGTATTACAGACACAGTATGATGCAAATCTTTGACTTGGCTAGCCTCAAGGCTTTTAAAAGTCTAAGATTCCTTATTAGAAAGTTCCAACAAAGCCAATTTTAAGAAGCCTATATGGTCAATAAATATTCTTGCTGCACTTTATGCAAATAATCAGACCAGGTATGATAAGACTAAAACTTATTTTGCACAGAAATTTGTCCTACTATGGTTTGTCTTTGATAAAATGATGGACTAGAGAGAGAAAATTCATGTTTCAAATGAAAACTGTGACATATGCTATTAGATTCCAGCCCTGATCATTCTTTTCCGAGTTTTTATTATTTGCCTATAATTTGGGCTGAATCCTGAATTATTTCCTGGCTCCAAGTGTTCCCTAGTGAACCCAGATAAAATATATTTTTAAAAAACTTGTTTTATCCTGTCAGGAATGAGATGTATTTTTGAAGGACTACTTAAACTAGCAATTACAATTCGATTATTATGATTATAGAATCTCGGGATTTCTCTTCCTTCTTGTCAAGGTCTTTACCTGATGTTTGTCTCATTAAAAAAAAAAAAGAAATCAGACTGATTACACTCTACTCAAGACTGAAGACATGTACTTTAACCTGTCTCTGTTACCAGTAAACGAAAGCCTTAAATTTCAGAATCCGTCAGGGACCCTGTGTGGTCCCTGGATCAAGCACACATGGGCTTATGAATGTGTTGACCGCTGGCATATGAGAGGTAATTGTCTATTAGGTTATGTGGCTCTTCCTCTTCCTATTTATAACTCCAATGTTTCTGAACGCTGAAGTAGTTCATCGAAATTATTTTCCAGGATTAGACAAACCATACCTGCAAACCAAGGAGATGAATTTTGGCCTATGTTTGGCAGAAATCTCTTGCCATGGTGGGGAGTAACCTCTCATGAACGTATAATTAGAAATCTGTCAACCACTCTAGGTAACTTAGCAAATGAACTAGCTGAAGCCATAGCTACCAAATAAAGATCTTCAGACTCTTTAGCCAGGATAGTCATGGATTACGGAATAACTTTAGGCTACATAGTGGTGAAACAGGGAGAAACTCATATGGCAGCTAGCTAACACATCATGTTGTGTTTAGATCCATACATCTTCTGAAGTTGAAACACATGTAAAAAAATAGACGATATGGGAATTAATTATGACAAATCCTAGGGAAGAGGCTGAAAGAGCTGTAACACAAACAGGGCTGAGACATGCCCCTTGCTCGCCACATTGTGGGCAAAGAGAAGGAAAGAAGAGCTATGGCCCTTTGGGGAGCCCAGACCTGGGAGCTCCCCGAGCCAGAGCTGTGATTCCTTCTTTGGGGCCTTTGGTTCCTGATATCTCCAAGCTTCTGGGTGCCACTGTGTTCCCAGTGTGCCAGCTGTGGAAGCTTCTTGAGGTGCCCATGGTCCAGCCACAGCCTTGTGGAGAGCTGGCGCCTGTGTTGGCACCTGGAGCTACCTGCTCCACTTCAGCAGCCAGCAAATCTGACTGCACAGTGGCCAGACCCCATGCTCACTCACACACCCCTTGCCACTCCATGCAGTCTCCCTTGGCAGGCATGGGATCCAACGTGGTAGCATGAGCAGAGCACAGCCTGCCAGGCTGAGTGTGTGGGGCCCAGCAAAACTCAGGCAAAGGTGCCACCAGTCATAGAGGTTTCTGTCTAGAAAAGTAACACCCCAAAGATCCCATAACACCGCTACTCTTCCCAGCCTCTGGAAACTCTCAGTCTACTCTCTATCTTGATGAGTTCAATTGTTTTAATTTTTAGCTCCCACAAATGAGTGAGAACATGCGAAGTCTGTCTTTCTGTGCCTGGCTCATTGTACTTAACATAATGTCTTCTAGTTCCATCCATGTTGTTGCAAATGACAGAATCTTATTCTTTTTCATGGCCGAAGAGTACTCCATTGTGTATATGTACTACATTTTCTTTATCCCTTCATCTGTTGATGCACACTTAGGTTGCTTCCAAATCTTGGCTATTATGAATAGTGCTGAAATAAATATGGGAATGCAGATATCTCTTTGATATACTAATTTTCCCTCTCTTGGGTATATACCCAGCAGTGGGATTGCTGGATCATATGATAGTTCTATTTTTAATTTTTTGAGGGACCTCCATACTGTTCTCCATAGTGAATATATTAATTTACATTCCCACCAACAGAGTAAGAGTGTTCCCTTTTCCCCACATTCTTGAAAGCATTTGTTATGGTCTGTCTTTTGCATAAAAGCCATTTTAATGGGGTAAGATGATATATTTTTGTAGTTTTGATTTCAATTTCTGTCATGATCAATGATATTGAGCAACTTTTCATATACCTATTTGACATTTATACATGTTCTTTTTTGTTTTTGCTCATTTTTTGAGACAGGGTCTCACTCTGTCACCCAGGCTGGAGTGCAGTGGTATGATCATGGCTTAATGTAGTGTTGACTGCCAGGGTTCAAGCAATCCTCCCACCTCAGCCTCCTGAGTAGCTGGGACCACAGGCATGCATCACCATGCCCAGGTAGTTTTTAAAATTATTTGCTATGTTGTTCAGGTTGGTCTTGAACTCCTGGGCTCAAGTGGCCCACCCGTCTTGGCTCCCCAAAGTGCTGGAATTACATGTGTCAGCCACTGCGCCTGACCTGTGTGACTTCTTTTGAGAACTGTCTGTTCAGATCTTTTGCCCATTTAAATAATTAGATTGTTAGTTTTTTTTCTTATAGAGTTGTTTGAGCTCCTTATATATTCTGGTTATTAATCCCTTGTCAGTTATATAGTTTGCAAAAATATTTTCTTCCATTCTGTGGATTGTCTTTTCACTTTGTCCATTGTTTTCTTTACTGTGCAGAAACTTTTGAACTTGATGTGATACCACTTGTTCATTTTTGCTTTGGTTGCCTGAGCTTTTGGACTATTACTCAAGAAATCTGTTCCAAGAGCAATTTCCTGGAGAGTTTCCGTAATGTTTTCTTTCAGTAGTTTCGTGTCTTTGATTTAAGTCTTTAACCCATTTGGATTTGATTTTTGTATATAGTGCAAGAGAGGTTTCTAGTTTAACTATTCTGCCAATGACTTGGGAGGCCGAGGTGGGCGGATCATGGGGGCAGGAGATCGAGACCATCCTGGCTAACACGGTGAAACTCTGTCTCTACTAAAAGTACAAAAAAAAATTTAGCCAGGCGTGGTGGTGGGCACCTGTACTCCCAGCTACTTGGGAGGCTGAGGAGGAGAATGGTGTGAACCCGGGAGGTGGAGCTTGCAGTGAGCCCAGATCGCGCCACTGCACTCCAGCCTGAGCAACAGAGCTAGACTCCATCTCAAAAAAAAAAAAAAGCTGACAATGAATATCTAGTTTTCCCAGCACAATTTGTTGAAGAGACTGTCCTCTCCCCCATGTATATTCTTGGCACCTTCATTGAAAATGAGTTAATTGTAAATGTATGGATTTATTTCTGGGTTCTCTATTCTGTTCCATTGGTCTATGTGTCTGTTTTATGCCAGTACCATGCTGTTTTGTTTATAATTTCTCTGTACTATAATTTAAAGTCAGGTGATGTGATTCTTCCAGTTTTGTTCTTTTTGCTCAGGATGGCTTTTGGTATTCTGGGTCTTTTATGGTTTCATGTAAATTTTAGGATTTTTTTTCTATTTCTGTGAAGAGAGTTATTAGTATTTCAATAGGGATTGCATTGAATCTGTAGATTGCTTTGTGAAGTATGGGTATTTTAACAATATTTACTCTTCCAATAAATGAACATGGACTATCTTTCCATTTTTTTTGGTGTCCTCTTTAATTTTTTTGCATCTATGTTTTATAGTTTTCATTGTAGAGATCTTTCACTTCTTCTGTTATGTTTATTCCCAGTTATTTTATTTTATTTGTAGCTATTGTAAATGGGATTACATTCTTGATTTTCTTCTTTAGATTGTTCATTTTTGTCATTTAGAAATGCTACTGACTTTTGTAGTTTGATTTTGTATGCTGTGACTCTGAATTTGTTGATCAGTTCTAATAGTTTTTGGTGGAGTCCTTAGGTTTTTCCAAATATAAGAGCTAATCATCTGCAAACAAGAAAACTGTAATAATTTTACTTCTTTCCAATTTGGATCCCTTTTATTGTTTTTCTCTTGTCTGAATTGCTCTAGCTAGGACTTCTAGTACTATGTTGAGTAACAGTGTTGGAAGTGGACATTCTTGTCTTGTTCCAGATCTTAGAAGAAAGGCTTTCAGCTTTTCCCTGTCCAGGATGATACTGGCTGTGGGTCTGTTGCATATGGTTTTTATTGTGTTGTGGTATGTTCCTTCTATATCTAGTTTTTTTTTGAGGGTTTCTTTTTATCACAGGGATGTTGAATTTTATTAAATGCTTTTCAGCATCAATTGAAATTATCATATGGTTTTTGTCCTTCATTCTGTTGATATGATGTGTCACATTGATTGATTTGCATACGTTGAACCATGTTGGCATCCTCGGGATAAATCCCACTTAGACATGATGACTGGTCTTTTTCAGAGGATGAGTTTGGAAATACTACAGCCTTCTCTGTTTTTTGGAATAGTTTGAGTAGGATTGATAGTAATTCTGCCTTCAATGCTTGGTAAAATTAATCAGTGAAGCCAGTGAAGCCATTGAATCCAGGCTTTTCTTTGCTAGGAGATGTTTTATTATGGCTTCAATTTCATTTATCCATTTCTTCTAGGTTTTTTTTTTTTTTTGAGATGGAATCTTGCTCTGTCTCCCAGGCTGCAGCATGGTACAATCTCAGCTCACTGCAACCTCTGCCTCCCAGGTTCAAGTGATTTTCCTGCCTCAGCCTCTAGAGTAGCTGGAAGTACAGGTGCATGCCAGCATGCCTGGCTAATTTTTGTATTTTTAGTAGAGATGGGGTTTCACCATGTTGACCAGGCTGGTCTTGAACTACTGACCTCAGGTGATCACCTGCCTTGGCTTCCCAAAGTGTTGGGATTACAGGCATGAGCCACGGTGCCCAGCCACTTCTTCCAGGTTTTTCAATTTATTGGAATATAGTTGGTCTTAATAGTTTCTAATGATTCTTTGAATTTCCACAGTATCAGTTATAGTGCCTCCTTTTTAATCTCTGGTTTTATGTATTTGAATCTTCTCTCTTTTTTCTTAGTCTGGTTAAGTGTTTGTTGATTTTGTTGGTCTTTTAAAAATATTAACTTTTCATTTCATTGATATTTTATATTTTTAAATTTCAATTTCATTTATTTCTGCTCCGATCTTTGCTATGTTTCCTTCTACTAATTTTGGTTTTGGCTTGCTCTTGCTTTTTTAATTATTTAAGATGCATTATTAGGTTGTTTATTTGAAGCTTTTCTACTTTTTTTGATGTAGGTGCTTATTTCTATAAACTTACCTCTTAGTACTGTAGTACTGTTTTTATTGTATCCCATAGGTTTTTTTTTTTTTTTTTTTGAGATGGAGTCTCGCTCTGTTGCCCAGGCTGGAGTGCAGTGACGCGATCTCGGCTCACTGCAAGCTCCGCCACCCAGGTTCACGCCATTCTCCCGCCTCAGCCTCCCGAGTAGCTGGGACTACAGGCGCCAGCCTTCACACCCGGCTAATTTTTGTTTTTTGTATTTTTAGTAGAGACGGGGTTTCACCGTGTTAGCCAGGATGGACTCAATCTCCTGACCGTATGATCCGCCCGCCTCGGCCTCCCAAAGTGCTGGGATTACAGGCATGAGCCAGTGTGCCCGGCCTGTACCCTAGGTTTTGGTTTGACTTTAAACTTTTTCTTTTCTCGAAAACTCAGTGTCATGGTACCGGCTTCTTGTGCTTTGGGCAGTGAGACCCTTTTACTTGATAACAGTGGTAGCTGGGACAAGTTGGCAATGTAAATAAATAAACAGCATCTAGATTGGAAAGGAAGAAGTACAGTTATCTTTATGTACAGATGACATGATCTTGCATTTAGAAAATCGTAAGAAATTTACTAAAACGTATTAGGACTCATGAACAAATTTAAGAATGTAACACTATATAAGATTGGTATACAAAAATAACTGTATTTCTTTACCAAGAAATCAAGAATCCAAAAATGGAATTACAAAAATAAATCTTGTTACAATAGAATTAAAGCTGGGGAAGCTTAAACTTGAACACTAAAAACTACAATACATGGTTAGCGTTGGAAACACCCAGATAACATCCCTGAGCATTCTCTCCTTGGCTCTGAGGGCTTTACCTTCACTGGGTGAGGAAAGGGGTTGCATTCTTGGTTTTACATTATATTAGGTGGGTTCGGGTTGAGGTATCTGCAATTCAAATGAGTATTACAATCACTACTTTTATGGATAAGAGACTAAGGCCCACCAAGAGAGGGAATGACAGTCCATATCCTGGAAGGTGAATTGTCAGACACTAATTTCCGCTATTTAACCCCTGCCAATCATCATGTATTTAAAGGATCCCCAGATACCATACCAATAGGTGTTCAAGAGAGAGGCCTGTAATCTAGGCGTCTGAGAAAACAAGGCTAGAGATTCCAATATTGGAGACAACAGAGCTCTGGGAAGATTAAGTTTGAGTTTTCTGGATCTGCAGAATAGAGTCACTGAGGACCAATTGCAAGATCAGAGGAGATGAAAGAACAAGTCAGGGCATGCTTAGGAAAAGAGAATACCAGGGATAGGTTTTAGGCAAGAGTCACACTGAGGAAGGGCAGGTTCTTCGCGTCGCTCAGGAAGAAATCCAAAAGCAAGCCTGTGGTGGAAGAAAGCAGCTCTACGGAGGCATTGGCGGTGTTACAGCCCTGCGTCCACTCCAGCAAGGCAGGGAGCCCTCCGTGGGTTGTGCTCCCAGAGCAGCAGCCTAGGGGTGGCTTGTAGTCATTTTTATGATTCACTTTTAATGGTATGCTAATTAAGGGGCGGGTTATTCAGAAATAGCTAGAAATGGGCAGTAACTTCCATCTGTTTCCATGGCAAGGGGTGGGGACTTCTCGTGATGACATGGCATTGGCAAACTGTCATGGCACTGGTGGGAGCGTCTTCTGGTGACAGGTGTACCTAATAAAAATATGCTTAGTGACTTGGGATAAACCAATAGTTGTTCAAAAGTGATGGAGAGCCGTGAAAGAGAGATAGCGGTAAATAGTTACAATAACACAATTTTCCTGCACCTGTCGAGGATTTCCCCCAAAAAACGCAGAATGTGGGATGCACCTAAGGCATATGAAAGAGAGAGGGCAGAAGGAGTAAGAGAGAAATAGGAGGAAGGAAGGAAGGAAGGAAGGAAGGAAGGAAGGAAGGAAGGAAGGAAAGAAGGAAGGTAGGACGGAAGGAAGGAAGGAAGGAAGGAAGGAAAGAAGGACGAAAGGAAGGAGAAAACACCAGTGTTACTAAAACCCCCCAAAAAGTGGTTTCCCCCTGTGGGTAAGCCTACAATGTGGATGAATCTTGAAAATATTGTGCTACGTGTTATGTCAGTCATAGCAGCTCACCTATTGTGCAATTCCGTTTATAGGAAATGTCCACAATATGGAAATCTATGCATATGGGATTGATCGCACTAGGTAGTTGCTACCTAGGGCTGAGGGTCAGGGAGAGGGTTTGAGACAGAATGAGGAGTGACTAATGTCTACAGGGTTTTTCTCTGGTCGGGGGTGATAAGACGTTCTACAATGGATTGCGAATTAAAATTGAATGTGCACAACCACAGGTATAGTAAAAGCCACTCAATTCATGACGTTTAATGGGGGAATCTTATGTGGCGCACTCTCATGGAGACCACGGCAGACATAGTGAGAGAGAAAAAGGTGAGTAAGTGTCTGAAACGGAGGCAGAAACAGAGAGAATGAAAAGCCCTGTGAATGGAAGGGAGAGCGAAAAGGGAAAATGGTCCTATTTACAAATGACGGATGTGAAACTGGGGTTCACATCAACAGTGTCACTGCCAGGAAGGAGGGTCATGCTAGCCATGTCACCGGTAGTGTGGCCCGCAGGGACGCCGACCTGCTGGAGCGTCGTGCCAGCATGGGCTGTGGCATCCACGTGGGCCAGCAGGAGGTTCCCGCTGCACAGCTGTGGGGTGAGGATAGACTGGGTGGTGATATCGGCCATTACAGGGGCCTCTTCTGCTGGCAAGAGTGTGACAGTAGCAAGTAGATGGACAGGCCTGTGTGTGAGGACGTAATGCAGGAGGGGCTCTTGTGCGGCTGGGTGTGGGGCCCTCACGGGAACCGTGGAGAAATGGCCAGGTAACTGCGTCATGTGGGCTGGTAGATTGGCCAGGGCTTCGAACTGAAGGACGATAACGGGGAGTAGCTGTCAGGCCCTGGGAGTGCCTGAGTGTAAGTGAAGATGGGTTTGGGGTCACTGAGGGATGCGTGGGAGCCATCCCTGTATAGGTACAGGTCGCAGGGAGATAGCCTCGTGAGGCCTGTGAGTGTCTAGGGTTGTCCTGGGTGCCTGGGGCTGACTGTGGCAGAAATCTGGGGAAGGCTGGAGAGAAGCTGGGAGACCCAGGAGAGTCCCTGAAGGCAGGGGGTGAAGAGGTGAAAGAAATGGGGGTGGGTTGCAGTAAGGTCCGTGAGTTTGTAGGTGATTCCTGGGTGCGGGAAGCTGACTCCAGGTGAAATCTGGAGATGGTTGGAGAGTAGCTGAGAGAGACAGAAGAGTCCCTGAGGGTTGGGGGTGAGAACATGAGGGAGACGGGGGAGTAAGTCAGTGAAATTCGTGAGTTCGGTGGTGTATCGTGGGTGCCTGAAACTGACTCCAGCTGGAATCTAGAGAAGTTTTGAGAGTAGCTGAAAGAGACACAAGAGTCCCTGTGGGCTGAGGGCAAAGACCTGAGAGAGACCAGGGAGGACCTCAGTGAAGTCTGTGAGTCTGTAGGTGATTCCGGAGTGTGGGAGGCTGACTCCCGCTGAAATGTGGGCGTGGTGGGAGAGTAGCTGGGACAGACAGGAGAGTCCCAGGGGGCTGGGGGTGAAGACATGAGAGAGAGTGGGGAGTAACTCAGTGAAATTGCTGAGTTGGTTGGTGATACCTGGGTGCCTGGAACTGACCCCCGCTGAAATCTGGGCATGGTTGGAGAGTAGCTGGGACACACAGGAGAGTCCCTGAGGGCTGGGGGTGAAGACATGAGAGAGACCGGGGAGTAACTGAGTGAAACTGGTGAGTTTGGTGGCGACTCCGGGGTGCGTGGAACTGACTCCAGCTGAAATGTGGGCGTGGTTGGAGAGTAGCTGGGACAGTCAGGAGAGTCCCTGAGGACTGGTGAAGACATGAGAGAGACTGGAGAGTAATTGAGTGAAATTGGTGAGTTTGGTGGTGATTCCTGGGTGCCTGGAACTGACTCCCGCTGAAGTGTGGGCGTGGTTGGAGAGTAGCTGGGACACACAGGAGAGTCCCTGAGGGTTGGAGATAAAGACGTGCTAGAGACTGAGGAGTAACTGAGTGAAATTGGGGAGTTTGGTGGTGATTCCGGGGTGCCTGGAACGGACTCCAGCTGAAATGTGGGCGTGGTTGGAGAGTAGCTGGGACAGACGGGAGAGTCCCTGAGGGATGGTGAAGACATGAGAGAGACTGGGGAGTAACGCAGTGAAATTGGTGAGTTTGGTGGTGATTTCTGGGTGCCTGCAACGGACTCCCGCTGAAGTGTGGGCGTGTTTGGAGAGTAGCTGGGACAGACAGGCGAGTCCCTGAGGGTTGGAGATAAAGACGTGCTGGAGACTGGGGAGTAACTCAGTGAAAGTGGTGGGCTTGGTGGTGATCCCAGGGTTCCTGGAACTGACCCGCGCTGAAATGTGGGCGTGGTTGGAGAGTAGCTGGGACAGACTGGAGGGTCCGTAAGGGCTGGGGGTGAAGACGTGAGAGAGACTGGCGAGGATCTCACTGAGGTCTGTGAGTTTGTAGGTGTTTCTGGGGTGTGGGGTACAGACTCCCCCTGAAATCTGGGCGTAGTTGGAGAGTAGCTGGGACAGACAGGAGAGTCATGGGTGGCTGGGGGTGAGCTGCTGGATGATGGCAGTAAGAACATATGGTACATTATTGATGAATGAGGTGACTGTGAAGAATCTCCAGAGGAGGACACGGGAGAACACAATGACATGAGTGACTGTCCTGCTTGGTTAGGAAAGGGAAACGTAAAGTTGTGGAATTCTGTTGATGATGGATGTGAGAGTGGTGAAGCCCTGCGGGATGATGTAGAGGACTTCCACATCCCTGGTGAGGAGCTGCCCCTTGGGTCTGAGTTTCTGGGAGGGGAGAGGGAGAAGCTGGGTGAGGCAGGCATGAATCTTGAGGAGTCAGGGCTGGGGGACCGCTCATATTCTCCCGAGACCTGTGAGTCTCTGGGGGACTCCTGGGTGCATGGGGCTGACTCCCGCAGGAACCTGGGGGTGGCTGGAGAGTAACTGGGAGCCACAGGAGGGTCCCTGAGGCCTCGGGGTGAAGAGATGAAAGACACAGGGGTGGAGCACCGTGAGGCTCGTGAGTTGGTAGGTGATTCCTGGGTGTGGGGGGCAGACTCCAGCTGAAATCTGGGGTTGTTTGGAGAGTAGCTGGGAGGCACAGGAGACCCCCCGAGAGCTGGGGGTGAGATGCTGGGTGATGGCAGTAAGAACCTGTGGTATATTGTTGATGAACGTGGGGACTCTGAGGAATCCTCAGAGGAGGACACGGGAGAGCCCAATGGCTTCATTGATTGCCCATCACGGTGAGGACAGGGAAATGGGAGCTTGTGGGATTCTGGTGATGACAGAGGTGAGTGTGGTGAAGCCCTAGGGGATGGTGAATGGTAGCTCCGGATCCCTGGTGAGGAGCTTCCCCTTAAGCCTGAGTTTCTGAGAGGGGAGAGGGAGAAGCTGGGTGAGGCTCGCATGGACCTTGGGGTGTCCGTGCTGGGGGACCGTTCATAAGAAGAGCCAGACAAGACCCTACTCTTCTTAGGTGCAGACATGATAAGGATAAGAAATAAGGATAAGTTCAGAAATAAATGTGGGGCCCAGCATGTGGGGAGGGGCACTCTACCTTCCAGGAAGTGTTATCCAGAAGCTCTCTGAACCCAGTCCTTTTGGGTTTTGATGGAGACCTCATTCTATAGGCATGATGGGTTAAACCATACGCTATTGGTGATCAACTCCACCTGAGGCTCTCCACCCTCCCTGGAAATTGGGTTTGAGGCTTTGCCATTCTCAGTCTGACTAAAAGAATTTACCCAAACGGAATTTTAAAACAGATGTGCATAACTGGAATCTTAATTAGATGATTGGATTATCTGGAGCCACACCTTGATATTCCTAACCCGAGCACCCTCATCCAACGAATTCTCCACCCAACTGGCTCCCAAGTCTCTACGTGGTTCCAGAGCAAAAGAATGTTTATACAACGCATATCTCCACCTTTTCTTCAAAGTCTTTTCGCTTACACGGAAAGACTTCTTCAACTGCCATGCATCAGGGTCAGGGGGAGGTCTTGTTACAACACAGATCTGCGGATCTCCGGGGTTTGATTGTGGCAGGGATGCTGCTGGTGTCAAAACCACAACGTGGGAAGCACAGAACCACTAGTTGGTTTTCAGTGTTTCAGTGCATACAGTTCCTTATATATCTGGCCAAGAAATCTTGTAAGTTCTTAGATTGTCACAAAGGTGGCGCATGAAATCAGAGCAGGAGAACAGTTTCCTACGAGGTGTATCCTGGGAAAGTTGGGGGTGACTGATGGAAAGGAGGAGTGAAGCTCCGCCCTTTCCGCTGCTAGGCTGCGCCCGAGGCTATTTAAACCCACCCTGGCTGGCCTGTACTCAGATCTTCGCGGAGCGGATCAGCGGCCGGAGCGTTTGGCGGACTCTGCGTGGACTTGGAGCTCACAGCATCTTGCGACTTTGAAGCGGATTCAGAGGACAGGAGAGAACACTTGGGCAAGTGAATCTCTGTCTGTGTGTCTGTCTGTCTGTCCCATTGTTTGGTTGATTTCCATTTTCTTCAGGGGCACATACATCACACCGCACACACACAAACACACACACACACACACGCACACACACTCACGCACACACACTCCTTCCTTCTGCGAGTTAGAACATTAGTAGGGGCCCCTGGGTGCTGCAGGTTTCCTAACCATGTCTGCACCTAAGAACAGTAGGGTCTTGTCTGGCTCTTCTCTTGAACGGTCCCCCAGCCTGGACTCCCCATGGTCCATGCGAGCCTCACCCAGCTTCTCCCTCTCCCCTCACAGAAACTCATGCTTAAGGGGAAGCTCCTCACCAGGGATCCGGAGCTACCATTCACCATCCCCTAGGGCTTCACCACACTCACCTCTGTCATCACCAGAATCCCACAAGCTCCCATTTCCCTGTCCTCACCGTGATGGGCAATCAATGAAGCCATTGGGCTCTCCCGTGTCCTCCTCTGAGGATTCCTCAGAGTCCCCACGTTCATCAATAATATACCACATGTTCTGACTGCCATCACCCAGCAGCTCACCCCCAGCTCTGGGGGATCTCCTGTGTCTCCCCGCTACTCTCCAAACAACCCCAGATATCAGCTGGAGTCTGCCCCCCACACCCAGGAATCACCTACAAACTCACGATCCTCACAGTGCTCCACCCCTGTGTCTTTCATCTCTTCACCCCGAGGCCTCAGGGACCCTCCTGTGGCTCCCAGTTACTCTCCGGTCATCCCCAGGTTCCTGCGCGAGTCAGCCCCATGCACCCAGGGGTCCCCCAGAGACTCACAGGTCTCGGGAGAATATGAGCGGACCCCAGCCCTGACTCCTCAAGATTCATGTCTGCCTCACCCAGCTTCTCCCTCTCCCCTCCCAGAAACTCAGACCCAAGGGGCAGCTCCTCACCAGGGATGTGGAAGTCCTCTACATCTTCCCGCAGGGCTTCACCACTCTCACATCCATCATCAACAGAATTCCACAACTTTACTTTTCCCTTTCCTAACCAAGCAGGGCAGTCACTCAGGTCTTTGTGTTCTCCCGTGTCCTCCTCTGGAGATTCTTCACAGTCACCTCATTCATCAATAATATACCATATGTTCTTACTGCCATCATGCAGCAGCTCACACCCAGCCACCCATGACTCTCCTGTCTGTCCCAGCTACTCTCAAAATACGCCCAGATTTCAGCGGTAGTCTGTACCACACACCCCAGAAACACCTGCAATCTCACAGACCTCAGTGAGATCCTCGCCAGTCTCTCTCACGTCTTCACCCCCAGCCCTTACGGACCCTCCAGTCTGTCCCAGCTACCCTCCAGCCACGCCAACATTTCAGCGCAGGTCAGTTCCACGAACCTGGGGATCACCACCAAGCCCACAACTGTCACTGAGTTACTCCCCAGTCTCCAACATGTCTTTATCTCCAACCCTCAGGGACTCGCCTGTCTGTCCCAGCTACTCTCCAAACACGCCCACACTTCAGCGAGAGTCCGTTGCAGGCACCCAGAAATCACCACCAAACTCACCAATTTCACTGCGTTACTACCCAGTCTCTCCCATGTCTTCACCATCCCTCAGGGACTCTCCCGTCTGTCCCAGCTACTCTCCAACCACGCCCACATTTCAGCTGGAGTCCGTTCCAAGCACCCCGGAATCACCACCAAACTCCCCAATTTCACTCAGTTACTCCTCAGTCTCTAGCACGTCTTTATCTCCAACCCTCAGGGACTCTCCTGTGTGTCCCAGCTACTCTCCAACCACGCCCACACTTCAGCGGGAGTCAGTTCCAGGCACCCAGGAATCACCACCAAACTCACCAATTTCACTCAATTACTCTCCAGTCTCTCTCATGTCTTCACCAGCCCTCAGGGACTCTCCTGTCTGTCCCAGCTACTCTCCAACCATGCCCACATTTCAGCTGGAGTCAGTTCCAGACAACCCGGAGTCACCACCAAACTCACCAGTTTCACTCAGTTACTCCCCCGTCTCTCTCATGTCTTCACCCCCAGCCCACAGGGACTCTCCTGTGTGTCCCAGCTACTCTCCAACCATGCCCAGATTTCAGGGGGAATCAGTTCCAGGCCCCCAGGTATCACCACCAAACTCAGCAGTTTCACTGAGTTACTCCCCACTCTCTCTCATGTCTTCACCCCCAGCCCCCTGGGACTCTCCTGTCTGTCCCAGCTACTCTCCCACCACGCCCACATTTCAGCGGGAGTCAGCCTCCCACACTCCGGAATCACCTTCAGTCTCCCAGACTTCACTGAGGTCCTCCCTGGTCTCTCTCATGTCTTTGCCCTCAGCCCACAGGTACTCTTGTGTCTCTTTCAGCTACTCTCAAAACTTCTCTAGATTCCAGCTGGAGTCAGTTTCAGGCACCCACGATACACCACCGAACTCACGAATTTCACTGACTTACTCACCAGTCTCCCTCATGTTCTCACCCCCAACTCTCAGGGACTCTTCTGTCTCTCTCAGCTACTCTCCAACCATCTCCAGATTTCACCTGGAGTCAGCTTCCCGCACCCAGGAATCACCTACAAAATCACGGACCTTACTGCAACCCTTCCCCATTTCTTTCACCTCTTCACCCCCTGCCTTCAGAGACTCTCCTGGGTCTCCCAGCTTCTCTCCAGCCTTCCCCAGATTTCTGCCACAGTCAGCCCCAGGCACCCAGGACAACCCTAGACACTCACAGGCCTCACGAGACTATCTCCCTATGACCTGTACCTATACAGGGATGGCTCCCACGCATCCCTCAGTGACCCCAAACCCATCTCCACTTACACTCAGGCACTCCCAGGGCCTGACAGCTACTCCCCGTTATTGTCCTTCGGTTCGAAGCCCTGGTCAATCTACCAGCCCACATGACGCAGTTACCTGGCCATTTCTCCACGGTTCCCGTGAGGGCCCCACACCCAGCCGCACAAGAGCCCCTCCTGCATTCCGTCCTCACACGCAGGCCTGTCCATCTACTTGCTACTGTCACACTCTTGCCAGCAGAAAAGGCCCCTTTTAATGGCCGATATCACCACCCAGTCTATCCTCCCCCCACAGCTGTGCAGCGGGAACCTCCTGCTGGCCCACGTGGATGCCACAGCCCATGCTGGCATGACGCTCCAGCAGGTCGGCGTCCCTGCTTGCCACACTACCGGTGATATGGCTAGCGTGATCCTCGTTCCTTGCAATGACACTGTTGATGTGAACCCCAGTTTCACATCTGTCATTTGTAAATAGGACCATTTTCCCTTTTCGCTCTCCCTTCCATTCACAGGGCTTTTCATTCTCTCTGTTTCTGCCTCCATTTCAGATATTTACTCACCTTTTTCTCTCTCACTATGTCTGCCGTGTTCTCCATGAGAGTGCGCCACATAAGATTCCCCCATTAAAAGTCATGAATTGAGTGGCTTTTAGTATACCTGTGGTTGTGCACATTCAATTTTAATTCGCAATCCATTGTAGAACGTCTTATCACCCCCGACCAGAGAAAATCCCTGTAGACATTAGTCACTCATCATTCTGTCTCAAACCCTCAGGGCCTGATGTGAAGGCACTTTCGTCTGTAGGGGACACATGACCTGCTTCTCTGTGGCGCGGTTTTTTTTTTTTTTTCCTGCCATGGATGCCTCACCTCTCCTTCCTCAAATCTCACCTTCCCCTCATGGCCCTTCTGTCTTCCTTGGGGTACACCTAGCCGCCCGAGGTGCCCTGTGACCTCGAACCACGGACTCCAGGGTCCCTGAGGCCCAGCGCAAGGCCTGATGGGCAGACACTTTCGTCCGTGTGGAGGTCCCAGTCCCCGCTTCTCCGTGGCTGGGTTTTTATTTTCTCTGCCCCAGGTGCCTCACCTTCCTCTCTTGTGCCTTCTGCATGCTTTGGGGTACCCCTAGCGGCCCGAGGCACACCCTGGGCTCGAACCATGGAATCCAGGTTCCACTGGGCCAAGCGGATTGGCTGATGGGAAGACACGTTCTTCCTCGGGGACCCAGGCTCTTCTTCTCTGTGGCGTTTTTTTTTTCTTTTCCCCATGTGCCTCACTTTCCCGTCATGGGCTTTCTGCCCGCCTTTAGGTACCCCTAGCCGGCCCGAGGCGCAGTGTTGTTTTGAGCCAGGGATGCTAGGGTCACCGTGACCCAGTGCAGGACTTATGGGTAGGGACGTTCGTCCATGGGGGACCCAGGCCCCACTTCTGGAAGCGCAGTTTTTTATTTTCTTCTCTGCCACCGGTGTCTCACCTTTCCCTCATGGGCCTTCTGTCTGTCTTGGGGTACCCCTAGCAGTCCCAGGGGCAAGCTGGGCTCGAGCCTGGGATTCCAGGGTCCCCAGGGCGCAATGCAAGCGCTGATGGGAAGACAGTTTCTTCTGTGGGGGACCCAGGCCCCGCTTATCCGCGGCACGGTTGTTGTTGTTTTTTTTTCTCTGCCCCACGTGCGTCACCTTCCCCTCATGGGCCCTCTGCCTGCTTTTGTGTACCCCTAGCGGCCTGAAGCGCACCCTGGTCTCGAACAAGGAATGCCAGGTTCCCCTGGGCCCAGCGCAAGGGCTGATGGGAAGACACTTTCGTCCATTGGGGACCCAGGCTCCGCTTCTCCGTGGTGCAGTTTTTTTTTTTCTGCCACAGGTGCCTCACCTCTCCTTCCTCAAACCTCAACTGCCCCTCATGGGATTTCTGACCGCCTTGTGGTACCCCTAGCAGGCCCGAGGTGCACCCGGGGCTCGAACCAGGATCTCCAGCGTCCACAGGGCCCAGCGCAGGGACTGATGGGAAGGCATTTTCATCCTTGGGGGACCCAGGCCCAGGTTCTCCTAGGCGCGGCTTGTTTTCTTTTTTTTTTTTCTGCCACAGGTTCCTCACCTCTCCTCCCTCAAACGTCAACTTCCCATCATGGGCTTTCTGCTCGACTTGGGGTACCCCTAGCTGCCCAAGGCGCTCCCTGGACTCGAACCATGGATGCCAGAGTCGCCGGGGCCTAGCGCAGGGGCTGATGGGAAGGTACCTTCATCCGTGGGTACCCAGGCCCCGCTTCTCAAAGCTGCGGTTTTTTTCTCCGCCCCAGGTGCCTCACCTTCCCCTCACTGGCCCTCTGCCTGCTTTGGGGTACCACGCGCAGGCCCGAGGCGCTCCCGGGTCTCCAATCAGGGTCGCCAGGTTCTCGGGGCTAGCGCAGAGGCTGATGGGAAGGCACTTTCATCAGTGGGGACCCAGGTCCGGCTTCTCCGAGGTGCTGATATATATATATATATATATATATATATATATATATATATATATATATATGTATTTTTTTTTTCTGACACAGGTGACTCACCTCTCCTCCCTTAAATCTCGCCTTCCTCTCATGGGCTTTCTGGCTTCCTTAGGGTACCCTAGCATGCCGGAGTCTCTTCTGGTCCTTGAACTAGGGTCGCCAGAGTCCAGGGGGCCCAGCGCAGGGGCTGATGAGAAGGCACTTTCGTCCGTGGGAGACCCAGGTCCCGCTTCTCTTCCGCACGGTTTTTTTTTTTTCTGTCGCAGGTGTCTCACCTCTCTTCCCTCAAACCTCACCTTCCCCTCATGGGCCTTCTGCCCGCTTTGGGGTACACCTAGCGGGCCCGAGGTGCACCCAGGCCTATAACCAGGGTCGCCTGGGTCCACGGGGCCCAGTGCAGGGACTGATGGGAAGGCACTTTCTTTCCATGGGAGACCCAGGCCCCACTTCTCCGTGGCGTGGTTTCTTTTTCTTTTCTGTCACAAGTGTCTCACCTCTCCTCCCTCACAGCTCACCTTCCTCTCATGGGCTTTCCACCGCCTTGGGGTACCCCTAGTGGCCCGAGGCTCTCCCTGAGCTCGAACCAGGGACTCTAGATTCCCCGGGGCCCAGTGCAGGGCCTGATGGGAAGGCACTTTCATCCGTGGGGTACCCAGGCCACACCTTTCCGCGGCACGGGTTTCTTTTTTTTCTTTTTCTGTGACAGGTGCCTCACCTCTCCTCCCTCAAAACTCACCTTCCCCTCACGGGCTTTGTGTCCCCAAAGCCCCCCTTGGGGTGCACTTGGCGGCCGAGGCACACCCTGAGCTTGAACGAGGGACACCAGGGTCCCTGGGTCCCAGTTCAGGGACTGATGGGAAGACACTTTCGTCTGTGGGGCACCCAGGCCGTGCTTCTCCGCGGCGAAGTTTTTCTTTTTTTCTCTGCCCCAGGTGCCTCACCTTCCCCTTAGGGGCTTTCTGCCCACCTTGGGGTACCCCTACTGTCCCGAGGCGTACCCCAGGGTCAAACCAGGGACGCCAGGGTCCCCAGGGCCCAGGGAAGGGGCTGATGGGATGGCACTTTCATCCGTGGGGGGCCCAGGCACTGCTTCTCGGCTGAGCGTTTTTTTTTCTCTGCCTCAGGTGCCTCACCTTCCCCTCATGGACCTTTTGTTCGCTTTGTGGTACCCCAAGCTGTCCTGAGGCGCACCCTGGGCTTGAACCAGGGTCGCCAGGGTCCACCAGGCCCAGCATAGGGCCTAATGGGAAGGCACTTTCATCCGTGGGGAACCCAGGTCCCGCTTCTCTGATACGCGGTCCTCTTTTTTTTTTTTTCTGCCCCTGCTGCCTCACCTCTCCTCCCACAAACTTCAACTTCCACTCATGGGCCTTCTGTCCAAGTTGGGGTACCCCTAGTCGCCTGAGGCACACCCTGGGCGTGAACCAGGGATGCCAGGGTCCCTGGGGCCCAGCGCAAGGGCTGATGGGAAAAAACTTTCGTCCCTGGATGACCCAGACACCGCTTCGCGGCGCATTTTTTTTTCTTCTTTGCCCCAGGTGTCTCACCTTCCTCTCATGGGCCTTCTGCCTCTCTGCGCCTGCGCCGGCGCTGTGGGCCTCTCTGCGCCTGCGCCAGCACTGTGGGCCTCTCTGCGCCTTTCGCCAGCGCTGTGGGCCTCTCTGGACCTGCGCTGGCGCTGTGCTCCTTTGCGAGGGCGGAGCTGCGTTCTTCCCAGCACAGACAAGGAAAGCATCGCCAGGGCGGAGCTGAGTTCTCCTCTGCACAGACTTCAGAGATACAGCGAAGGCGGAGCAGTGTTCTCCTCAGCACAGACCCAGGCGGGCCGGGGGCACCGCGAGGGCGGAGCCGCGTTCTGCTCAGCACAGACCCGGGGGACACCGCTAAGGCAGAGCAGCCTTCTCCTCAGCACAGACCTTTGGGGCACTGCCTCGCTTTGGGACAACTCGGGACCGCATAGACGGTGAATAAAATCCTTCCCTTTTGCAGCCCTGAATAATCAGGGTCAGAGACCAGTTAGAAGGGCTCAGTGTGGAAAAGGGAAACCAAAAGCCCCTCTGAATCCTGCCCACCGAGGTTCTCCCCAGCCAAGCCGAGGCGGCCGCAGTGCGAGATCCACACCGCAGCCTCGGAAGACAAATGCAGCATTCCTAATGCAGACATGACACCCAAAATATGACACCCCCATTGCTCATGTAACAAGCACCTGTAATGCTAATGCACTGCCTCAATACAAAAATATTAATATAAGATCCGCAATCCCCTTGCTGCCATGCAGTCCTAAGACAGAGATCATAATAATCAACATTGGCATAGTACAAACGTAGTAACGAACCTAGGGTTAAGGTTGGTGTTAGGGTTAGGGGTTAGGGGTTAAGTTTAGGGTTGGGGTTGGAGATAGGGGTTGGAGTCAGAGTTAAGAGTTAAGAGTCAACGTTTAGAGTTAGAGGTTAGGAGAGGTTAGGGGTTAGGGATAAGGGGTTAGGGTTGGATTAGTGTGAGGGTGAGGGTTGTGGTTAGGGGTTAGGCTTAGGGTTTATGGTTAAGGGTTAGGGTTAGGGGTTAGGGTTAGGGTCAGGGGTTAGGGGTCAGGGTCAGGGGTTAGGGATCAGGGTCAGGGGTCAGGGTCAGGTTCAGGGGTCCCACTCTTTGAGTTGTCCATTTACTCTGCTGACTGTTCCCTTTGCCATGCAAAAGCTGTTTAGTTTAATTAAGTCTCAGCTATTTATCTTTGTTTTTATTGCATTTGCATTTGGGTTCTTGGTCATGAAATCCTTGCGTATGTCAATGTCTAGAAGGGTTTATCCAGTGTTATCTTCTAGAATTTTTATAGTTCAGGAATTAGGTTTAAGTTCTTAATCCATCTTGAGTATATTTTTGTATAAAATGAGAGATGAGAGTCCAGTTTTATTCCCCTGCATGTGGCTCGCCAATTATCCCAACATCATGTGTTGAAAAGGGAGTCTTTCTCCACTTTATGTTTTTGTTTACTTTGTCGAAGATCAGTTGGCTGTAAGTATTTGGGTTAATTTCTGAGTTCTCTCTTCTGTTCCATTGGTCTATGTTCCTATTTTTAAACCAGTACGTTGGTGTTTTGGTAGCTATGGCCTTATTGTACAGTTTGAAATCAAGTAGTGTGATACCTCCAGGTTCTTTTTGCTTAGGCTTGGTTTGGTTACATGGCTCTTTTTTGGTTCCATATTAATTTTAGAATTGTTTTTGTAATTTTGTGAAGAATGATGGTGGCTTTCAGACGGGGATTGCATTGAATTTGTAGATTGCCTTTAACAGAATGGTAATTTTCACAATATTGGTTCTACCCATCCATGAGCATGGGGATGCATTTCCATTTGTTTGTGTCATCTATGACTTATTTTCTTTCGTTTTTTTTTTTTTTTTTTTTTTTTCAGAGGGAGTTTAGCTCTTGTCGCTGAGGTGTGAGTGCAATGGTGTGATCTCGGCTCACTACAACTTCTGCCTCCCGGGTTCAAGCGATTCTCCTGCCTCAGCTTCCCGAGTAGCTCGGATTATAGGCATGTGCCACCGTGCTTGACTCCAGCTATGATTTCTTTCAGTAGTGTTTTGTAATTTTCATTGTAGCTGTCCTTTTATTTCTTTGCTAGGTATATTCCTAAGTTTTGTTTTTTTGTTGTTGTTTGTCGCAGCTATTGTAAAAGGGGTTGAGTTCTTGATGTGATTCTCTGCTTGGTAGCTGTTGATGTATGGAAGAGCTACTGATTTGTGTCCATTAATCTTGTATCTGGAAACTTTGCTGAATTCTTTTATCAGTTCTAGGAGGTTTCTAGAGGAGTCCGTAGCGTTTTCTAGGCAAAAGATTATATCATCAGCAACAAGTGACAGTTTGACTTCCTGTTTACCGATTTGGATTTCCTCTATTTCCTTCTTTTGTCTGATTGCTCTGGCTAGGACTTCCAGTACTATGTTGAAGAGGAGTGGTGAGAGTAGGCTCCTCGTCTTGTTCCAGTTCTCAAAGGGAATGCTTTCACCGTTTCCCCATTCAGTATTATGTTGGCTGTGGGTTTGTCATAGATGGCTTTTATTACATTAAGGTATGTCCCTTGTATGCCTATTTTGCTGAGAGCTTTAGTCATAAAGCAATGCTAGATTTTGTCAAATGTTTTTTCTGCACCTGTTGATATAATCATATTAATTTTTTTTAATTCTGTTTATTTGGTGTATCACACTTATTGACTTGCATATGTGAAACCACTCCTATATCATTGGTATAAAACCCACTTGATCATGGTGGATTATTTTTTGATATGTTGTCGGATTCAGTTAGATAGTATTTTGTTAAGGATTTTGGCATCTGCGTTCATCAAGGATATTGGTCTGTAGTTTTCTTTTTTGGTTATGTCCTTCCATGGTTTTGGTATTAGGGTGACTCTGGCTTCATAGAATGAATAAGGGAGGGTTTCTTCTTTCTCTGTCTTGTGGAATAGTATGAAAAGATTGGTATCATTTCTTCCTTGAATGAAAGAAGACATTCTTTGAATGTCTGGTAGAATTCTGCTGTGAATCTGTCTGGCCCTCGGCTTTTTTTGCTGGTAATTTTAAAATTACCATTTCAATCTTGCTGCTTGCTTTATTGGTCTGCTTGGGGTATCTAATTCTTCCTGATTTAAGCTAGGAGAGTTGTATTTTTCCAGGAATTTATCCAACTCTTCTAGGTTTTGTAGTTTATGTGCCAAAAGGTGTTCATAGTACCCTTGAATAATCTTTAATATTTCAGTGGTGTCAGTTGTAAGATCCCCTGTTTCATTTCTTAGTGAGGTTATTTGGATTTTCTCTCTTCTTTTCTGGGTTAATTTTGCTAATGGTCTATCAATTTTATTTATCTTTTCAAATAACCAACTTTTTGTTTTATTTATGTTTTGTATTTGTTGTTGTTGTTGTTGTGTCAATTTCATTTAGTTGTGCTCTGATCTTTGTTATTTCCTGTGTTTGCTGGGATTGGGTTTGGCTTGTTCCTGCTTCTCTAGTTCCCTGAGATGTGAACTTAGATTGTCTGTTTGTGCTCTTTCAGACTTTTTGATGTAGGTTTTTAGGACTACAAACTTTGCTCTTAGCAGTGCCTTTGCTGTATCCCAGAGGTCTTGATAGGTTATGTCATCCAGTTCGAAGAAATTTTTTACATTTCCATCTTGATTTCATTTTTCACCCAATGCTCATTCTGTGAGGAACAACAAATTGTTTTCCGCAGCAAGGGCATCATTTTCTATTCCTAGCAGCCAGATCATGAGGGCTCCAACTTCTCCACCTCCTTAGCAACATTTATTTTCTGTGTCATTGTTATGAAAGCCTTACTTGTGGATGCAGAGTGGCATGAATGAAGTCAATTAACACGTTTATTACCTCACAGAATAGTCACCTTTTTGTGTGCATGGGTGGGATAAGAAAACTTAACTCTATCCCCTGTGACGGAATAGTGGCCATTCCAGCTGCTCCAGGCTCCAGCAGAGGAAGACCGGGGTATGTGGCCCCACCAGGGTGACCCTCAGGCCTGGCGCGCACGCATTCCAGAGGCCACCCAAACCATGCTGTGCCATCTGGGCGCCCAAGCTGCCGTCGCCCTCTGTGTGCAGGCAGCAGCTGCCTGGCAACCCCCGAGCCCGCTCGCGCTCCTAGCATCATAGAAGCAGGGCCACGTGTCCCAGTGGCTGCAGCCAAGCCAGGCATTCTGCCCTGCTGCAGCAGCTGCACAGGAGCGAGAACTGAGAAGCCACCGCTCAACCCCACACGAGGTGACTGCCGAGTGCCCATACAAATGGCTCCGATCTCCCTCAGGTGGAGGAGTGGTCGGGAGGCACGGCCTGGGGGCCCTCACGCTGGGCGCGCTGGTGATCCCAAGGCCGACCAGGCCATGCACCTCCAGCCCGCCTGGGCACCCGAGCTGCAGCCACCTTCTGCGTGCAGGCAGCAGCCTCCAGGCAACTCCCGAGCCCGCCCACACTCCCCACATCTCGGAAGCAGGGCCAAATGTCCCTGTGGCTGTGGCCAAGCCAGGCGGTCTGTCCCTGCAGCAGCTGCACAGGGGCGGGAACCGGCCCTCAGCCCCATCCCCTGTGGCTGCAGAGGGCCCCTGGATAGAGATGTGGAGTTCTGACAGAGGAGGAGCCGGGCCGGGACAGGGTCTGGCAGGCTCTCAGGCCAGGGGCACCCGCGATCCAGAGGCTGCCCAGGGCATGCTCCACCACCTGGGCGCCCAGCTACAGGCGCCGGGCGACTCCCAAGCTGGCTGGCGCTCCCAGCCTCGCAGAACCGGGGCTAGATGTCGCCGTGGCTGCGACCAAGCCAGGCGGTCTGCCCAGGGGCGGCTGCACCGGGGCAGGAACCGACCCTCAGCACCATCCCCGGTGGCTGCAGACGGCCCCTGGGGTGGCCCCGATCTCTCTTCGGAGGAGGAGAGGGGCGGGAGTCACGGCCAGGCGGGCCCTCAGGCGGGAAGGAATGTGCGCCTGCCATTCCGGGACGTCCCGCGCCAGCCCAGGAGAACCCGCAAGCCAGCGGAGCCTGTTTCTCTGTGTGATTCTTTGAGGAACCACCAAACTCTTTTCCACAGCAAGTGCATCATTTTCTATTCCTAGCAGCCAGTTCATGAGGGCTCCAGTTTCTCCACCTCCTTAGCAACATTGATTTTCTGTGTCGTTGTTATGAAAGCCTTACTAGTGGATGCAAAGTGGCATCTCATTTGGGTTTTACCTTGCATTTTATTAATGAATAATGGTGTTTAGCATCTTTTCTTTTCCTTCTTAGACATTTGTGTATCTTCTTTGGAGAAATGTCTGTTCAAGTCCTTTGACTATTTTTTAATTGGGATCTTAGAAATTCTGTTGTTGAGTTGTGGGATATTAAGCTTTTATCAGATACACATTTTGATTTTATCAGATACATATTTTCTCACATATTATGGGTTGTCTTTTCACTCCCTTGATAGTATCCTTTGATGCATAAAGGGTTTTTTATTTTGATTCAATCTAATTTTCCTGTATTTTCTTTTGTTATCTGTGCTTTTCTGTCACATTTCAAAATACACTTAAAACTCAAAGGTCATAAAGGTTTACCGTGTGTTTTCTTCTAAGAGTTACATATTTTTAGTCCTTACATTTAAGTCTTTTATTAATTTAGAATTAATTTTTGTATATACTGCAAGGTAGGGGTCTAACTTCTCTCTTGTGCACTGACATCCAGCTGTTGAAGAGACTGTTCTTTCCTCCCTTGACTAGACTTGGCCACCTTGTTGAACAGTCATTGACCATATATGTGAGGACTAACTTGTAGTATCTCAAATCTGTTCTGTTGTATTGGTCTGAAAGCCTATTGGCCTTATTCCAGTACCACACTCTCTTGATTACTGTAGATTTGTAGTAGGCTGTGAAACTGAAAAATGTGAGTTTTCCAATGTTCTTTTTCAAGACTGTTTTGTCTGTCAGATCCTTTGAATTTTTGTATGATTTTAGAATGAGTTTCTTTGTTTCTGCAAAAATGCCTTTGGGATTTTGATGGTATTGCATTGAATCTGTAGATTACTTTAGATGGTATTGTCATCTTAACAATATTGTCTTACAACCCGTGAACACAGAATGTCTTTCCACTTATTTCCACTCTCTTTAGTTTTTTGCAGCAATGTTTTGTGTACACCACCATGGTTAGATTTATGCCTGAATAACGTATTCTTTGATGTCATTATAAATGGAATTTTTAAAATGTTTTCATAGTTCTTTACAACTATATAGAAATATAGCTCATTTGCCTATGTTTGTTTGCATCCTGCCTCTTTTATTAGTTATAATCGGTTTTGTGTTTTGTTTGGAGCTTTATACCCATAAGATCATGTGTAGATATAATTTTACACCTATTTTTTATTTCTAATTTAGATGCCTTTTATTTCTTTGTCTTGCCTAATTGCTCTGGCTAGAACTGCCAGTGCTACGTTGAATACAAGTGGCAAATGCACCATCCTTTTCTTCTAGATGTTAGGAAAACAGCTTTCAGTGTTTCATCATTGATCATGATATTAACTGTTGGGTTTTTGTACATCCCATTGTCATGTTGCAGAAGATCCCTTCTATGCCTAGTTTATTGAGTATTTTTATTATAGAAGGGTGTTGTATTTCATCAATGTTTTCTCTGCATCAATTGAAATAATCACGTGCTTATTCATTTTACTGTTACAGCATATTACACTGATTGATTTTTTATATGTTGAACCACCCTTGCATTTTGGGGATAAATCTCAAAGGTTGATAGTTTACAATCCTTTGATTATACAGTAGTGCTGCTAGTATTTTGCTAGTATTGCTAGTATTTTGCTGAGATTTTTGCTTATATATTCATAGGGGATATAGTGCTGTATTTCTCTCTTTTGTGCTCTCTTTGTCTTTGGTATAAGGATAATGCTGTTATCAAAAAATGAATTAGCAAGTATTCCTTCTTCATATATTTTGTCAGAAGAGTTTGAGAAGAAATGGTATTAATTCTTCTTTAAATGTTAGGTTGACTCACCAGTTAATGCAGCTATTTGGTCATACATGTTTCTTTGTTAATCGCTTTCGATTACTAATTCAATCTCCTAGGTTATAGGTCTATTCAGATTTTCTCTTTCTTCTTGAGCCACTTTGGTAGTTTGTGTCTTTCTAGCGATTCATCCATTTCATCCAGGGCACCTAATTTGTTGCTAGACAGTTGTTCACAGTATACTCCTGTAATCCTTTTTTATTTCTGTAAAGTTGGTAGTAATGGCTCTGCTTTCATTTATTATTTTAATAATTAGTCTCCCATCTTTTGCTCAGTCAATATAGTGAAAGGCTTGATCTTTCAAAGAATCTACATTTTTTCATTCTACTGCTCTCCAACCTTCTATTTTATTGATTTATGCTCTAATTATGCTCTTTATTATTTCTTTCCTTCTGCTAGCTTTGGATTTAGTCTTCCACCTGGATTTATTTTGGGAGTGATATTGATGTAACTTCATGGAAATAATACTAGATAGAAAGTTAGCGGATAGATTCTCTATCTGATGAGAGTTTGGGGCAAGTCGAGTACCAGGTTACCAAGTTTTATTTTTTTCTCTGACCCAAAAAACAATTTGGCAGCCGGTGAGAAACTCTCACAGCTCTGGATGTGAGTTTAGGACACTGCATTTCTACCATTCAATTTCTTACTACTTTTTTGCACAGGGATCATGGCACAAGTTGCAGTTTCCACCCTGCCAATGGAAGATGAGGAGTCCATGGAAGATGAGTAGTCCATTGAAGATGAGGAGTCTGTTGAAGATGATTCCGTGGAGAGCAGGATGGTGGTAACATTTCTCATATCAGCTCTCGAGTCCACGGTGAGACCTTCTGTTCTAACATGATATAATTGGGTAGAACTGGGTGGTAGATAAGGTTGATTTGTTTTTGTAGAACTTATAATTTTATGATTTGTAGTTCTAATGAGTAGATCTTTTTCTGGAATAGTAGTTATGGTCAAACACTTCTAACCAAATGTGCCATGTTGTCCAGTCTGGTCTCAAAATATGGGGCTCAAGAGACCTGCCCACCTTGGCCTCCCAAAATACTGGGATTACAGGTGTAAGCCCCTGAATCTGGCCAGATATTTTTCTTTTTATGGCTGAATAATACTCTGTGTATGTATATATTACATTTTCTTTATCTATTCACCTACTGATGGGCATTAGGTTTGGGCGACCTTTTGGCCACTGTGAATAATGCTGCTGTTAATCGGGTGTACAAATACCTGTTTGAGTCCCTGCTCTCAGTTCTTTTGGGTATATACGCTTAAAGGGTGTTGATGGATCATATAATTCTATGCTTCATATTTTTAAGGAGCTGCTAAACCATTTTCCACAGTGGGCTGTACCATTTTACATTCCAAAAAGCAATGCATACAGCTTCCAATTTCTCTATAGCATTGCTGACAGTTAATATTTTCTGTTTATGTATTGTATTTTTATAGTGTTTGAAATTAATCTAAGGCTTTTTGCTGATACCAAAATATTAGGAAAGGTTTTCCAAAAATAATACTGCTTATTATAAAGGATTTTACGTGTTACTTGATGCCCTGTGATCTGTTTTCTAAGTAAGAAGAGGAACTTCTTGGCTGGGCACAGCGTCTCATGCCTGTAATCCTAGCACTTTTGGAGGCCGAGGTGGGTAGATCACCTAAGGTCAGGAGTTCAAGACCAGCCTGGCCAACATAGTGAAACCCAGTCTCCACTAAAAAAAAAAAAAAAAATAGCTGGGTGTGGTGGGGGGTGCCTCTAATCCCAGGTATTCGGAAGGCTGAGGCAGAGAATTGATTAAACCCATAAGGCAGAGGTTACAGTGACCGAGATTGCACCACTGCACCCCAGCCTGTGTGACAGAGCGAGAGTTCATCTCAAAAAAAAAAAAAAAGGAAAGAAAGAAGAGGAACTTCTCTCCATCCAGCCTCATTCCACTGCACCAACTCTTCTGTGTCGGGTTGTGCAGGAGAGAAAGGGAGCTTGGCAACTCTTTGCTGTGCTGAGTTGTGGTAGCCCATCACTGGGTTGTAAAGTGCCTTGCCTCCTTTCCTCCCCTCCTTTTTTTTTGAGACAGAATCTCACTCTGTCGTCCAGGCTGAGGTGCAGTGGTGCGATCTCTGCTCACTGCAACCTCAGCCTCCTGGGTTCAAGTGATTCTCCTGCCTCAGCCTCCCAGGAGGCTGGGACTACAGGCACATGCCACCACACCTGGCTAACTTTTTTTTATTTTTAGTAGAGAAAGGGTATCACCATGTTGGCCAGGCTGGTCTTGAACTCCTGACTTCAGGTGATTCACCCACCTTGGCCCCCCAAAGTGCTGGGGTTAAAGGCATGAGACACTGCACCCGTCCACCTCCTCTTTTACTTGGGAGAAATGCACAGATTCTGGGTGTCATGTGCATTTGTTTTGGGAGTGATAATTGATCTAACTTATGGAAATAATACTAGATAGTTAGCGGATGGATTCTGTATCTGATGAGAGTTTTGGGCAAAACGAATTCCTAGTTTCTGAGTCTTATTTTTCCCCTGATTCAAGAAAACTGTGAATTATCCAGCCAGTAAAAAACTCTCACAGCTCTGGATGTGAGTTTAGGACACTGGATTTCTACCACTCATTTTCTTACTACTTTTCCTGTGCAAGGATCATGACACAAGTTGCAGGTTCCACCCTGCCCATTGAAGATGAGGAGTCTGTTGAAGATGAGGAGTCCTTGGAGAGCAGGATGGTGGTGACATTCCTGTCAGCTCTCGCCTCCATGGTCAGACCTTCTGTTCTCACATTCTGTAGTTCGGTAGGACTGGGCGGTAGATAAGGTTGATTTGTTTTCGTAGAACTTACAATTTTGTGATTTTTAGTTCTAATGAGTAGACCTTTTTCGTGAATAGTAGTTACGATCAAACACCTCTGACCAAATGTGCATGTGGAGTTTCTACACTGATTTTCAGACAATCTGGATCCCAACTGGGTATCCCACAATTCCATCCTGACACTCCCTGGAGTTAGTGCAGACCCCGCAGGATGGGAGCTCAGTCCCAGGAGTCTACCCTCACTCCACATGCCAATTGCAAGTCTTGGGTTGTTACATGTAGTTTTGACCAACCAGTTAGAAAACAGGGTTTCATGACCCCCATTGGTGGGTGGAATCATTTGCTCGGACCGCTTGCAGAACTCAGAAAAACAGATTGTTTTCTTTTTTTCCTGAGATACAGGGTCTAAGTCTGTTGCCAGGCTGGAATGCAGTGGTGTGATCAAAGCTCACTGTAGCATGGGACTCCAGGGTTCAAGTGATCCTCCCACCTCAGCCTCCCAAATAGCTGAGATTATAGGCCTGTACCAGCATATCTGGCTATGTTCTTTTACTTTTTGTAGAGATGGGGTCTTGTTATGTTGCCCAGGCTGGTCTCAAATTTCTGGGCTCACGTGATCCTCCCACCTCAACTTCACAAAATGCTGGGATTATGGGCATGAACCACTGCATCTCACCAATTTACTTTCTTTTACTGGTTCATTTTAAAGGCTAAATCTCAGAAACAGCCAGTGAAAGAGATGTACATGCTGGGCACAGTGGCTCATGCCTGTAATTTCAGCACTTTGGGAGACTGAGGCGGGAGCATCGCTTAAGTGCTCAGGAGATTAAGACCAGCCTGGGTAACAAGGTGAAAATGCATCTCTACAAAAAGATTTTTCTAAAAATTAGCCAGGCACAGTTATCTATAGTTCTAGCTACTCAGTGCCTATAATTCTAGCTACTCAGGAGGCTGAGGTGAGAGGATGAGAGGATGGGGCTTGAGATAGGGAGGCATAGTTCGCAGTGAGCCACGATTGTGCCATGGCACTCTAGGCTGGGAGACAGAGCCAGACTCTGTCTCAAAAAAAAAAAAAACCCACAGGGCAAGGTATGTCGAAAGGGGTACAGAACTTCCATGTCCTCTATTGTGCATGTTACCTTCCTGGTATCTCCCTTGTGTTCAGCAACCCAGACATTCTCCAACTCCAGTTGTTGAGGGCGCTTATGAACGCTTCATTATGCAGGCAAGATTGATGAAGTCATTGACCATTGGTGATTAAGTCAGTCTTCGGCCACTATTTCTTCCTGGAGCCCAGGGGGTGAGGCTGACAGTTCCAAGCCTCTAATCACATGGTTTGTTCTTCTGACAACAACCACCCCTTTTTCTGAAGCTGTCTAGGAGTTTTCAGTCACCCAGTCATCTCAGTAACATCACCAAATGCATTCTTACTATGGTGATCCCAAAGGTCTTAGAGGCTCTTGTGTTAGAAACCTGGGACTAAGACCAAATATTGAAACAGAAGATGCCCCATCACCTTCATCACCAAGGCCTTTATAAGAGCTTGAGAAGCTCTGTGCCAGGATGAGGGGCAGAAACCAAATGTGTATTTCTTTTCTTTTTCTTTTGAACACAGAGTCTCTGTTTCACCCAATCTGGAGTGCAGTGATGTTGTTGTAGCTAACTGCAGCCTCAACCACCTGTGCTCAAGCAATTCTCCCACCTCAGCCTTCCAAGCATCTGGGACTACAGGTGCACACCATCCATGCCCAGCTAATTTTTGTATTTTTTTTGTAGAGGTGGGATCTTGTTATATTGCCGAGGCTAGTCTTGAACTCTGGGGCTAAAGCGATCCATTCACCACAACCTCTCAAGTAGCTGAAACTACAGATGCATACTACCATGCCCAGCTAATTTTTTCTTATTTCTTTTTGTTGTTTAATTGAGGGGGTCTCGCTGTGTTTCCCAGGCTGGTCCTGAAGTTTTGGCCTCAAACGTTTCTCCTGCTTTGACCTCCTAAACTGTTGGGATTATGGTTGTGAGCCACGGCCTCTGTGTCCAGCAATCACAAGAGGTCTTTATAAGTGAAAGAGGGAGGTAAGAGAGTCCGAATTGAAGGAGATTTGATGATGGAAGCACAGGTCACAGAGGGAGATTCGAATATGCTTTGCTTCTGGCTTTGAAGATGCAGTTAGGGGCCATGAGCCAAAGAATAGGAGTGGCTTTAGCAACTGGGAAAGGCAAGGGAACATATTCTCTCCAGAACCTCCAGAAGGGATGCAGTCCTGCTGGCACCTTGACTTTAGCCTTAATAGACCTATTTTGGACTTCTGGCCCCCAGACTTCTTAGTTAGTAGATTTGTGGTGTATTAAGCCACTCAATGTAGGGTAGTTTGTAACAGCGGCAAGAAGAAATGAACATGAAGCCAGAATTGGTGGCCCACACCTATAATTCCAGCTATTTAGGAGGCTGAGGCAGGATGGTTGCTTTGGCCCAGGAGTTCACGGTAAGTCTGGGCAACAAAATAATACCCTGTCGACATGGAAAAAAAAAATAGCGGGTGTGGTGGCATGCACTTGTAGTCTTAGCTACTAGAGGCCCTGAGGCAGGACAATTTCTTGACCTAGGTGCTCCAGGTCTCAGTGCGTTGTGATCGTGCCATGGCACCCCAGTCTGAGTGACACAGCGAGATTATATCTTAGAAAAAAAAAGAAAAAAGAAATGAGTGAGCATGGCAGGAATAGGGACAGATAGCAATATTAAATAGAGTGGTCAGGGTTGGCCTCCTAAGTGAAAATTGAGCAAAGACTTGAAGGAGGGGAAGGAGCTGGCCAAGGTACTGAGGGAAGAGCATTGTAGGCAGAAACAACAGAATAAAGATGCTAAGAGGGAACTCCGTGGTGTGTCTGAAGCTCAGGAAAGAGGTCTGTGGAGTAGAGAGAGGGAGAGAAGTAGGGAAGGAGGCCAGGGAGTTGTTGGACTCAGATCAGTACAGATTGTGTAAGCCCTGGGAGGCTATTGCTGGGGCTTTGGTTTTTATTCTGTCTGAGATGGGAGAAGCAGAAGGGTTCTGAGCAGAGAGGTGACACGAACTGTCTACTGATTTAAAAGCATCCCATGGCAGCTGAGTTGAGAAAGATTGTGGGAAGATTTGCGTAGAAGCAGGGAGGCCATGCTGTGGCAACCTCCAGGTGGGAGATGATAGTGGTTCTGACCAGGGCCCTGGCAATGGTGAGAGATGGTTGATTCTTGTTGAAATACTAAGTAATTAAAAAAAAAACCACTACTGCTTTTCCCAATTATATGAAGTATGGGATGCTAGATTACAGAAATCTTAAGTCGGGCCAGGTGCAGTGGCTTATGCCTGTAGCTTCAGCACTTTGGGAGGCAGAGATGGGAGAATGGTTTGAGTCCAGGAGTTTGAGACCACCCTGGGCAACACAGCAAGACCTCCTGTCTATGCAAATAAAAATTATTAAAATATAATTATCCCGGCATAGTGGTATTTTCCTGTAGAACCTGTTACTTAGGTTGTTGAGGTGGGCAGATCTCTTGAGGGCGGGAGTTTGAGGCCAGCTTGGTCAACATAACAAGGCTCCTCTTTCTACAAAAAAAAAAAAATTAGCTGGGTGTTTTGGTGTTCATCTGTAGCTGTAGCTATGGTGAGGGTGAGGCAGGAGGATCTCCAGAGCCCAGGAGGTCACGGCTGCAGTTAGCTATGAGTGCACCCCTGCATTGCAGCCAGAGTGACAGAGTGAGACCCGGTCTCAGAATACAGATACAAGTAAAGAAATCTCAGCTCAGAGCAGTCTGTTTGTCACTATGCAGCCTTTGCAACCCCATAGCTGCGTGATTGGGTTTGTGTTGCTGGAGATGAGGAGACCCGTGCCCAGGTGTTGTTGCCTGTCTAATCAGTTTATTTTAAAATATATTAAGGAAATTTATTTCATCATACTTTATGGCCTCATACCTGAGTGGTTTTTTGAATTCTCCTTTGAATAGCTTGTAACTATTCAAACCTCTTATTGGTTCTATAATTAATTCTTTTTCTAATTAGTTTTTTAAAAATCAGAATTGATACTAGACCAATCAGTTATTAATGAGGAGATGAAATTGAGTTGTTTGTACACTTTGTCTAAGATAGTGTTATATTGGCTAACTCAAATCAGTATTTCAGCAAATGCAGAGTCAGAGCTTCTTCAGCGTGGAACTCTCTTGTGGTTCTTGAAGATGCCAATTCTTTTTTTTTTTTTTTTTTTTTGAGACAGCATCTTCCTCTGTCACCAGGCTCGAGTGCAGTGGCACAATCTCAATTCACAGCAACTTCTGCCTCCCGGGTTCAAGCATTTCTTTTGCCTCAGCCTCTGAAGTAGCTGGGAATACAGGCACATGTCACTATGCCCGGCTAAGCTTTGTATTTTCTGTAGATACGGGGTTTCAGCATGTTGGACAGGCTGGTCTTGAACTCCTGACCTTGTGATCCACTGGCCTTGGTCTCCTAAAGTGCTGGGATTACAGGTGTGAGCCACCGTGCCTGGCCTCTTTTTTCAGTCTTTAATAAACTGCTGCCATCATTTCAGACCACTTGCTATTTTAGGCACTTAGAAATTTTTCACTGGAATTCATGTAAAGAAAGACCATGGGTGTTTGTACTGGATTTAGTATTCATCCTTCGACTGCATGACTCACCCCTAGTGCCATAATTTACTAATGAATTTTTCAGATACTACTCAGCTGGCCACTGAACCTAACCAGCAACCCACCCTCAACCATTCAGTGGTATTTTGTTCTTCTCTGTTCCTCCTGAATGTTGATTACTCTCAGAAGGTGATAAAAACTTGGATTTCTTTTTTTTTTCTTTCTAGAGACAGGGTTTTGTTCTGTCACCCAGGCTGCAGTGCGGTGGCATGATCATGGTTCACTGCAGCCTGAAACCCCGGACTCAAACAGTCCTCCCACCTCAGCCTCCCAAGTAGCTGGGACTACATACATTTGCCCCTATGCCCAGCTAACTTCTTTATTTTTTATTGTACAGATGGGATCTTGCTGTGTTGCTCAGGATGTTGTCAGACTCCTGGCCTCAAGTGATCATTCTGCCTCAGCTTCCCAAAGTGTTTGGATTATATGTAGGTGGGAGCCACCTGTGTTCAATGCCCATTTTCTTTTTCTTTCTTTCTTTTGGAGACGGACTCTCACTCTGTCATGCAGGCTGGAATGCAGTGGTGTGATCTCAGCTGACTGCAACCTCCACCTCCCTGGTTCAAGCAACTCCCCTGCCTCAGCCTCGCAACTAGCTGGAATTACAGACCCATGTCACCACTCTCAGCTAATATTTTTGTATTTTTAGTAGAGACAGAGTTTCAGTATGTTGGCCAGACTGGTCTCAAACTCCTGAAATCAGGCAATCCACCCACCTTGGCCTCCCAGTGTGCTGAGATCAGAGGCGTGAGTCACCACGCCATGCCCAGCCATTTTTAAAATAATAACGTTATTGAAATATGATTAACGTATCATGCAATTCATTTATCAAAGTACGCAATTCAGGCCAGGTGCAGTGGCTAATTCCTATAACGCTAAGACTTTGGGCAGCTGAGGCAGGTGGATCGCTTGTGTTCAGGAGTTTGCGACTAGCCTGGGCAACATGGCAAAACAGCATCTCTAGCAAAAATACAAAAATTAGCTGGGTGTGGTGGCTCATGCCTGTAGTCCCAACTACTTGGGGACATGAGACTGGAAGATCACTTGAGCCCAGAAGCCATAGGTTGCAGTGAGACCAGATGGCACCACTGCACTACAGCATGGGTGACAAAAGGAGACCCTGTCTTTAAATAACTAAAGAAAAAAAGAAAGTATACAATTGAGTGGTTTTTAGAATATTCAAGGAGCTGTGCATTCATCACCACAGTCTTTCTTAGAAGTGATTACCCACTTGTAAGTTACCCACTTATGAGTGAGAAACCCTCACCTCTTAGCCACTACCTCCTACGTACCCTATATTCATAGGCAACCACTGATTTATTTTCTGTCATTGTAGTTTTGCCTAATCTGGACCTTTTATAGAAATAGAATTGTACAATGTGTGATCTTTTGTAATTTGCTTTTTTTCTCTTAGCAGAATATTTTCAAATTTCTTTCATGTTATAGTGTGTACCAGGATTTCTTTCCTTTTGTAGCTGAGTAATAGTTTATGTTTATCCATTCATTAGTTGATGGACATTTGTGTTGTTTTTGCGTATTCACCATCATGAGTCAGGCTGCTATGAACACTCGTACATAAGTTTTAGTGTGAACATATATTTTTATTTCTCTTGGATTTACACTCAGGAGTGAAATTGTCACATTATGTGATTACTATACATTTAGTCTTTGAGAAACTGCCACGTTGTTTTTCAAAGTGGTTACACTGGTCAGGCACAGTGGCTCACACCTTTAATCTCAGGTATTTGAGACACTGAGTTTGGAGGATTTTCTTAGCTTGGGAGTTCAGGACAACCCTGGGCAACATAGGGAAACAATGTCTTGATTTTTTAAAAAAATCAAATGCCAAGAAAACACCCAAATTGATTACACCATTTTATGTTCCCACCAGTAATGTATGTGAGTTCCAATTATTCCAATTGTCACCAACTTTTTTTTTTGAGACAAAATCTTGCTCTGTTGCCCAGGCTGGAGTGCAGTGACATGAACATGGCCAGTGCAGCTGTGACCTTCCAGGCACAAGTGATCCTCTCACCTCAGCCTCCTAAGTAGCTGGGACTTACAGGTGCATGCTATCATGTGCAGCTGATTTTTACAGTTTTTGGTAGAAATGGGGTGTTGTCATGTAGCCCAGGTTTGTGTCAAACTCCTGAGCTCAAGTGATCTGCCTGCTTCAGCTTCCGGAAGTGCTGAGATTACAGGTGTGTGCCACCATGCCCGACTGGTGTAACCACTTTGGAAAGCAGCCACTGAGCCCGGCCTTCACCAGTATATCAATATTTGTTAATATTGTTTTATTTTTTACAATTTTTCCATTTTTAAAAACTTATTCTTTTACCTGTATTATTGATTATAATAAACAACGAATAATTTTGTAGTAGAGTTGAGTCCCCTCAAAAAGTATTTATTGTTTAACTGAAGTAGTTTTTTTTTAACCTGGATATATATTTTTTCATTTTCACTTTATTTTTAGTGTTTATTTTAAAAAATTATTTATATGTATTTTTATTTTAATAGGTGTTTGAGAAACAGGTGGTGTTTGGTTCCATGAATAAGTTCTTCAGTGTTGATTTCTGAAATGTAGTACCCCTCATTACTCATTAAATTATATATTAAGTCATTATAAAATCATTAATAAACCAAGGACTTTAGTAAAATGGGAATTTTATTTTAACTTGCAACCTGGGACGTAACTGTCAAAAAAATTAGAGAAATTACCACATTAAGGTTTTAAAATCTTGAACTGAAAAATGAAAACCTTGGTGCACCTAAGAACCACCAGCCCACTGGTCAAAGTGAACAAAACTAAATGAAAAAATAAAACCAAGAAAACCAAACTCAGGATTATTAGGTATTCTGTAATGCTATTTTATCTTTGGACTCACAGAAAATAGTTATTATTATTATTACTCTTATTATTATTATTATTTTGATATGGAGCCTCACTCTGTCACCCAGGCTGGAGTGCAGTGGCGCAATCTTGGCTCACTGCATCCTCTGCCTCCTGGGTTCAAGTGATTCTCCTGCCTCAGCCTTCAGAGTAGTTGGGATTACAGGCAGGTTCCACCATGCCTGGCTAACTTGTATTTTTGGTAGAGACAGGGTTTCACCATGTTGGCCAGGCTGGTCTGAAACTCCTGGTCTCAAGCAATCTGCCTACCTCAGCCTCCCAAAGTGCTGGAATTACAGGCATGAGCCACTCTGCTCAGCTGAAAATAGTTAATTTTATGTATATTCCAAGTCAGAATACATCCTATTTTTGAATATTTGATGACTTTAGGATACTATATTAACTCTTAATTGAATTAATACAAGTTTAGGTGTAAAGATGATGTTTATGTTGACAAAAATGATTAATGTTTTACATATATGAAAGTAACAATATCATATATTTTTCATACTTGTAGAATACTTTGAAATCTATTATTAGCTAATATTTTATATTCATTTTGGGTTTTCACATTATTGTTAGATCCAGAGAAAAGTAATATTTTGTGAATACTCAAATCATAAACATTTTGCTGGATGCATTCATAGATACTTTATTTAAAAAGTACACTAATTGAAGTTTTACACCATTTTATGATTCATCAAACACAGCAACTGAATACTGGCGTATAGCAACATTACAGATGATGTTAGTCTAAGATAAAACTCATAACACATTTTAAAAAGGGTAAAAGGAAGGAAAGGAAAAAGGATCCAAGGCTGTAGAAAGATTTTAAAAACAAACATCGTATGTCTGAACCTTTGCCTGGAGTTTCTTATTTTGTGAAAAGCAGTTTGTAAGTAGAGGACTCGTAAGTGCACCTAGTACACTGCAATGGCACAGACACGGCAGATAGTCAATAAAATGATCTTTAACTTCTGATCTAGATTATTTTTGTTGTTGTTCATGTATTAACCTAGTGAATCTCAGCCAATAGATGGAGTGGCATTGACCTGCACAACTTCCAAAATCCCATCCAACCTTAGTGTCCTCTGAAGTTCTCCATAACTTATTGTCTGTTCCAACCAACATTTAGCATAAGCTACAGCTTATATTGTTAATAATTCTTCTATGTTTATGTGCTGATTTGCAAATAAATGGGCCTATATAGTCTTTATCTAGTGTTGGATTGGGATCAAAAGCTTCATGAAATCATTGTTTTTAGTATACGTACAGATGGATAATTGTATAAATAAGTACAGATGTGTATAAATGTGTGAGTATACATACATATATTTTCTAGCTCCTCTAACAAAAGGGTCTAGAAACAACATCATCCCAGTAACAATGAGAACACCATTCTCCAATTAAAGGAACCAAGGCTCCTTGGGGACATATTTGATATCAGGATTGGGCAGGGAAAATACAAGATTAGTTTGAAATATTTTGTCATGTTAGGAAGTAAGGAAATGCTCACAAAATGGAGAAGATGTGAAAGGGAAACAGATCCACTTTGAATAAACTTCCATAGCCCAATTTGAGAAAATTGGGGCAATAAAATAGATAACAATAGTAATATATTACAATCTACAGAAGAAAATTTTCAATTAATCCAGGCCGGGTGCGGTGGCTCATGCCTGTATTCCCAGCACTTTGGGAGGCAGAGGCGGGCAGGTCACTTGAGGTCAGGAGTTCGAGACCAGCCTGACCAATGTGGTGAATCCCTGCCTTCACTAAAAATACAAAAATTAGCCGAGCATGGTGGCACATGTCTGTAGTCCCAGCTACTCTGGAGGCTGAGGCAGGAGAATGGCTTGAATCCCGGAAGGTGGAAGTGCAGTGAGTGGAAATCGCACCATTGCACACCAGCCTGGATGACAAAACAGACTCCAACTCAAAAAAAAAAAAATCCATATTGACATAAATAATAAACCAAAGATTGAGAATGGGTAGTATTTTATTACAGTAAGATTTCATTAAATGTAGGAGACATTAAATATAAGAATCATCACTTTGCAAATATCATAGTAATAATTGTTGCAAGAAAGAACCTTGGAGGGATGCTAAGATTAGTGGTGAATATATGTTGGGAAAGAACATATTTGCATAATATGAAAGTATCTTCCCACAAGATAATTATAGAATAATAACTTCAAAGTGGAGATGTCAACTTACCCAAGTGATCAAAGTTAACATTACTAATAATAAGATAAATGAACTTCATGTAACTTCTTATATGATGCACTGAGTAGGACAAAACATCAATTCTATGGTATTCTTAGACAAAATGTATAACTTTAGTCCTAACCGTGAGAAAACATCAGACTAACTGAAATTGAGGAGGGACATTCTACAAAATAACTGCCAGTATTCATCAAAAGCATTTTAGAAAGACTGAGGAATTCTCCAGAGACATGGAGGCATGTTATCTAAGTGCAATGGAGAACATGCATTGTATCATGAACCAGAGATGGACAACAGTAGGATATGTACAATAACACCCCAACATTTGAACATTAAACAAAATACTTCAGAAAAACCCATTGGCCAAGAAAAGTTTCACACACAAAAAAAATAGTTTAAAGTGAAAGAAAAATTTTTAAGAACTTAATAAAATGTGGGATGCAGATAAATCGTTTCTTAAAGGTACATTTATACATGTAATATATTGAAAATAAAAGGCTTCAATCAATGACCTTTAGGTTCTTTTTTAAGAGGCTAAAAAATGAGCAAAGTATATCCAAATTAAGAAGAAGGAAGATGATAAAGATAAAAATGTAAACCAACAACATAGCAAATAACAAAAGGTGGAGCTAATTAATATACCCACAAATTGGTTATTTGAAAAAAAAATTTTTAATAAACAATGGCTAGCAAGATTTATCTCGAAAAAAATTAGAGAAGCTACATAATGTAGATAATGGGAATTAAATAGAGGATGTAACTACAGAACCTACAGACATCAATATAATTATGAAAACTTTAGGCCAATACATTTGACAATTAAAATAACATGGGAAATTATTTGTAAAACTAATTCTTAAAACTGATGCAAAATGAAATAGAAAAAGTAATAGCTTCTCTAAGTATTGAAGATTTTTTTTTAATTTAAAAATATTTCTATAATTACAGGCTACATGCTTTCTTAGGTGAATTCTATCAAACATTTAAGAAAGTACAGAGAGTCCTCAACTTACAGTGGTTTGACTTGTGCTCTTCTGACTTGATAATGGTGCTTTCATCTGTGTACATTAATGATGAGCATCAATATGACCAGTTTTTCACTATCAGTATAGTTTTCAATAAATTTCATGAGATACTGAATATTTTAAAATGGGCCTTGTGGTAGATGATTTTGCCCAATTGTAGGATAATGTAAGTGTTCTGAGCAAGTTTAAGGTAGGCGAGTCTAAGTCATGATATTCAGTAGGTTAAATATATTAAATGCGTTTTAGACTTACAATATTTTCAATTTAGGATGAGTTCATTCAGACATAAGACAATTGTAAGTTGAGGAGTATCTATAATATCAATCTTGAACGGACTCTTTTTAAGAAATAGAATTTAAGGGCCGGGCACAGTGGCTCACACATGTAATCCCAGCACTTTGGGAGGCCAAGACGGACAGATCACCTGGGGTCAGGAGTTTGAGACCAACCTGACCAGCATGGAGAAACCCCCGTCTCTACTAAAAGTACATAATTAGCAGGGCATGGTGGCGCTTACCTGTAATCTCAGCTCCTCGGGAGACAGAGGCAGGAGAATAGCTTGAATCTGGGAGGCAGAGATTGTGGAGAGCCGAAATTGTGCCATTGCACTCCAGCCTGGGCAACAAGAGTGAATCTCCGTCTCAAAAAAAAAAAAAAAAAAAAGAAAATTTAAAGGGACATTTCCTATCTTATTTTATGAACCCAGTATTGCCGATTCCAAATCCAGACAAAGGCATTATACAACTTTGATGTTTATCCCTCATAAACACAGACTCAAAAGTCCTTAAAACATAATAACCAATTGAATGTAGCAGTACATAGAATGGATAATAAACTGTGAACAAATTAAATTTCTAGCAAGATTGCAAAGTTAATTTATTATTTGAAAGATCAGTTTAATCAATTTTATTCACCTGGATGGTTACATCTGGCAAAACTCAGCAAACTGTGCACTTTAAAATAGTATTTATTTTATGTAAATTATGTTTCAATACAATTGATTTTTTAAAAAAAAACTTTTCCCAGAGTGATCAAAGTGGAGGGCAGGGAAGAGTAAACATCAGTGCTTATGTTATAGCTACTAGAAGCCTCCCAATTCCAACGACATGCTTTCAAGCAGGTCTGATCCTTCCCCTGGAGGATACCTCTGACCCAGGTGTGTACAAATGCATTGCCCTTAGTTGCTTCTGTCACCTTAGTGATGGAAGTGACAAGAGGGTACTGGAGAAAGAAAAGGTGTACAAGGTTCCAAATGTACATTCTATTTCCAAAGGACATTTGTGAAGCCAGTGGAAAGCGAACAAACAAGCTGCTAAATAAGTCACAAGTGTGTTCTCGTACAGTTTTGCGATTAACTAAATAGGACATTCAACAGATAAAATTTGTTTTACATAGTTACTCCTCTAATAGGATGAACTTGTGGATTGTGAGATAGGGCCGATATAACCTGTTTTCTCTCTGCCTCTTTTTTTCCCCCAAGTTTTGTGTGCAATACATTAGGAAAAATATAATTGGGCTACAAAGCTACAAAAATGGCTTCCTGGCAGTCCCATGCTTGTTTCCATGTGGTGCCTATGTTTGGCACTGTGTTCTCATTTGCACTTTCCTACTTGATTAGTTAATGTATGAAGGACAAGCCTGATCTCTACTGTGAATTTTTACCAAGGTATTCTAGTAGAAAAATGAGTATGTAATGGTGCTGTGGAATGCTAAAGTGTGTAAAACATTAAGAATCTAAAAATATGCTCATTTCCAAGTTTTGTCCCACAGCAACTGTGCACTCTGATTATATCGCTACTGCTATTTAAAGTTATCCATTTGCATGTCTAAAAAATAGATTCATACTGATTGTCCCATTTTGATCTCAAAAAACTCCTGAATATGAGAGTCGTGATCAAGGGACGCTTCATGAAATGTTCCAAAGTTAAAGTGTGCAATGAAACCAGATTTATCATAGCCTTATTTAAAATAATTATTTCTAAAATTGTTATTGTTTAATTATAAATGGTATCCTTTCAGGATACTTGGAAGATCCATAGCAGTGTTTTTATTTTCACAGAACAAGCATAAATTATTTATGAAATAATAACTCAGATACAGAGATTACTTCCTATTGGCCTTACATATGAATATAAATAAATACATATTATGAACATGAGCATACTTATTTTATAATTATGTAAATGTGTGTGTAATGTTATATATAAGTTCAATAAAGTCATGCTTATACATGGTTTCAATTCATGCTTCTAAAAACCACTCAATGTAGTCATTATCATATGTTAATAAATAATCTCTGAAAATGTGCTTCTAGTAGTTGCACAATATCGCATCATAAAGATTGTCATGCTGTTTTTAAGTCATACTTTTGGGTATATAAGTTATATCTGATATTTTTCTGCTACATATATACTATTATAAATCTATTAGTAGCTGATTTTTTGTCAACACATATGATTGTTTCCTCACAATAGTACAAGAGTTGGTTGTAACTTTATTTCCTTCCAACATTTATTTTAGGTTCAGCGGGTACATGTGCAGGTTTATTATATGGGTAAAATGTGTGTCAATGGGATTTGGTGTACAGATTACGTAGTCATCCAGGTAGTGAACGTAGTATCTAATAGGGAGTTTTTTGATCCTCACTCTCCCCCCCACCCTCCACCCACAGTAGACCTTGTGTCTCTTGTTCCCTTCTCTATGTCCATGTGGACTCAATGTTTAGCCCCCACTTATAAGTGAGAACATGCAGTGTTTGTTTGGTTTTCTGTTCCTGCATTAATTCACTTAGAATAATGGTATCCAGCTCCATTCATGTTGCTGCAAAAGACATTATTTCATCCTATTTTATAGGTGTGTAGTATTCCATGGTGTATGTACGCTGCATTTTTTTAATCCAGTCTTCTGTTAACAGGCATCTAAATTGATTCCGTGTCTTTGCTATTGTGAATAGTGTTATAATGAAAATATGCATGCATATGTCTATGACAGAATGATTTATATTCCTTTGGGTATATACCCAATAATGGGATTGCTGGGTTGAATGGTAGTTCTGTTTTAAGTTATTTCAGAAATCTCCAAACTGCCTTCCACAATGGCTGAACAAATTTACATTCCTGATGAAACTGGAGACTTCCCTGACTCCCCTTGGCAGAATGTGCAACAGGGGTGTGGCTTGTCTGGCCACCGTGTGTGCTGTCAAACCCCTTACTGGGCAGGGAAGCATGCAGACAGGCAGGTGCAATAGGCAGGGCAAGTGGCCATGGTACTGTCTAGGGGTGGGTTCCTGCGACTCCCACAGCACAAGTGGGCATGTGTTACAGTGCACTCTTTTAGCTTTGCCATCCACAGACGGCTTAAGTGTTAACCTGTTCAGTGCCCTCTTGGTACCCAGTTCCTTGTCCAGCATCCAGAAAGAATTAAGTTGCACACAGACTTGAGGATGGTGAATGTGGGGGTTTTATTGAGTGGTGGAGGTGGCACTCAATGGGATGGATGGGGAGCTGGAAAGGGGATGGAATGGGAAGATGATCTTCCCCGGGAGCTTTGCCATCCAGAGGCTGATCTCTCCAACCACTGCCAGCCAAACTCCTCTTGGCATTCAGATGCTCCTTCTCTTTTTTCTGCCACATCATTCTGCAATTCTGCTCTTCTGTTCATCTCCTCATCTGCTTGTCTGCTTCTGGAGCCTGGGGTCTGGGGCATATATGGGTACAGGACAGGGGGTGCATGGTGAGCTGAAAGACAATTTTGGGTGCAAAAGCAGGAATGCCTGTTCCCATTTAGGGCCATGGGTTTCCAGGCTTGTGGGCACGGCTTTGCCAGGGAACCACTCTCTTCTACCCAGTATTTCCCTGTCTCCTTTCTATATCACCACCAGCAGTGTATAAGCATTCCCTTTTTTCCACAAACTCGGCACCGTCTGTTATGTTTTGATTTTTTAATAATAGCCATTCTGACCGGTGTGATATGGTATCTCATGGTTCTGATTTTCTGATGATTAGTGATGTTGAGTATTTTTTCATATGGTTGTTTGCCATACATACTTTGTCTTTTGAAAAAAGAATCCACAGACAGCTTAAGTGTTAACCCGTTCAGTGCCCTCTTGGTACACAAGTCCTTGTCCAGCATCCAGAAAGAAGTTGCACATGGACTTGAGGATGATGAATGTGGGGGCTCATGTTCTTTGCCTATTTGTAGTGGGTTTGTTTTTTGCTTATTGATTCTTTATACATGCTAAGTATTAGACCTTTTTCAGATATGTAATTTGAAAATATTTTCTTCTGTTCTGTAGGGTGTTCTCTGTTGATAGTTTCTTTTGCTGTGCTGAAGCTCTTTAGTTTCATTAGGTCCCACTCGTCAATTCTTCTTGTTGCAATTGCTTTTGGAACCTTCATCATGAAATATTTGCCTGCGTCTATGTCCAGAATGATATTTCCTAAGTTTTCTTCTAGGGTTTATATAGTTTTGGGTCTTACATAAGTCCTTCATCCATCTTGAGTTGATTTTTGTATATGGTGAAAGGAAGGGAGTGTACATGCCCCTGTGATATTGTTCCTAATATGCAGGTTGGGAGAGGATATTATACTCAATATTGCAGGAAGTGTCGACCACCCTGAATATTGCTTTTAATATCCAGGGAGAGAGGGTGATATTACTCCCAATATCATCCTCTCCCCCCACACCCTGCATAGTACAAGCAATATCAAAGGGGGTCTGTGCAACACGTGCAATATTGGGAGTAATATCCTCCCCCAACATGGATATTAGAAACAGTATCACAAGGGGTTGTACACCACCTGTGATATTGTGGAGTACTATCATTTTCTTTCCCCATGGATATGTAGAACAATATCACAAAGGTGGTGTACAACCCCTGCTATATTGGGAGTAATACTGTACTTTCCCCACCTAGATATTAGGAACAATATCACGGGGGGTTATACACCACTGCAACATTGGGAGTAATATCATCCTTTCCCTCCCTGGATATTAGGAACAATACCTCATGGGTGTGTACACCCTGTTCCATATTGGGATTAATATTTTCTCCCTTGCTGGACATAAGGAAAAATATAACGGGGGGTATACACTCCTTATGATATTGCCAGTAATATTATAGACTCCCCAAAGGGATATTAGAAAGAGTATCAGAGAGGGGTGTACATCCCCTGCTATATTGGGAATAATATTCTTTCTTTCCCTGGATATTAGTAATAATATCACAAAGGGGTTGTATACCCCCCGTGACATTTTAATTAATATCATCTTCCCCACTGAATATTAGGAACAAATTCCCAGGGGATTGTACACCACCTGCAATATGGACGGCTATATCATTGTCTCTCCCCCGAATATAAGGAACAATATCACAAGGGGGTTGTACAACCCCTGTGATATTGGGAGTAACTTTATACCCTTTCCACATGGATATTAGGAACAATATCACAGGGTGGGTGTACACCCACTGCGATATTGGGAGTAATATCATCCTCTACCCCCTGGGTATTATGAACAATATCATGGGGAGGGGGTGTATGCCCTCTGTGATATTGGGAGTAATATCATCCTGTCCCCTCTGGATATTAGGAAGGATATCACAGCGGGGCTGTACCTTTCTGCACTATTGGGAGTGGTATCACCCTCTCCCCCTATGGATATTAGGAACAATATCACAAAGGGGGTGTACACATCCTGCGATATTGAGAGTAATATTGTCCACTCTTCCCTGGAATATTAGGAACAATATCACAGGCAGAGTGTACACCCCCTGCTATTTTACCTGTAATATTATTCTCTCCCAACCTGGATATTAGGAATAATATAACAGGAGGGTTGTACACCACTTGTGATATTGGGAGTAATATCATTCTCTCCCCCCATGGATATTGAGAACAATATCACAGGGGCAGCTTACACCTCCTGCGCCATTTAGAGTAATATCATCCTTTTCCCCCATGGATATTAGGAACGATATCGCATGGGAAGTGTACACCCCCGCCATATTGGGAGTAATATTTTCTCCCTTGCTAGACATTAGGAACAATATCACGGGAATGCACACACCCTGCGATATTGCCAGTAATATCGTAGTCTCCTCCCAGGATATTAGGAACAATATCACAAGGGGGGTGTACATGCCCTGTGATATTGGAAGTAATATCATCGACTCCCCCAACGGATATTAGTAACAATAGCAGAAGGGGTGTACACCCCTTGCAATATTTATAGTACTATCATCCTATACCCCCTGGATATTAGGAACAATACCACGGGGAGGTGTATACCCACTGTGATATTGGGAGTAATTTCATCCTCTACCCCTTGGATGTTAGGAGCAGTATCACAAGGGGGATGTGCACCCTCTGTGATATTAAAAATAATACCATTCTCTCCTTCTGTGGATACTAGGAATAATATCACAGTGCTGGTGTACACCCTTTACACTATTTGGAGCAATATCACCCTCTCCCCCACTTGATATTAGAGACAATATCATGGGGGGTGGCGTGTAACACCCTGCACTGTTGGGAGTACTATCATCTAGTCTTCCCCTGGATATAAGAAACAGTATCACAGAAGGGGTCTACACCTCCTGAGATTTTGGGAGTAATATCATCCTCTCCAAATCTGGATATTAAGGACAGTATAATGGGGTGTGGGGAGTAATATGGTGGGAGTAATACAATCCTCCTCCCCACTTGATATTAGGAACAATATCGCAAAACGTGTGTACACCCACTGTGACATTTGGAGTAATATCAACATTTCCCCACCTGGTATCACGGGGAGAGTGTACAGTCCTTACGATATTGGAAGTATCATTGTCTCTCACTCTCGATATTAGGAAAAATAGCACAGGGTGTGTATACACTTCCTGTGATTTTGGGAAGAACATCATACCCTTCTGTCTTTGATATTAGGAACAATATCACAGAGGGGGTGTACAACTTCTGTGATATTATAATATTCTTTCTTCCTATGGATATTAGGAATGATATCCCGGTGGGCTTGTTGTACACCCCCTGTGATACGGACAGTAATATCATTGTCCTTCCCCCTACATATTAGAAACAATATCACAAGGGTGGTATACACCCCCTGGATATTAAAAACTATCACAGGGGGGCTGTACAACCTCTTTGATACTGTGAGTAATACCATTGTCTCCCCTCCTGGGTATTAATAACAATATCATAGGGTGGGTGTACACCCCCTGCAATATTGGGAATAATATCATCCTGTCTTCCCCGGGATATTAGGAACGGTATCACAGGTGGGGTTTACACCCCCTGCAATTTTGTCAGTAATATTACTTCTGGATGTTATTGAATATATCACAGTGGGGGTGTACACCCCCTGTGATATGGGGAGTAATAGCATCCTCTTTCCCACTGGATACTACAAACAATATCGCAGATTGTGTACAACCTCCTGTGATATTGTTCACAATATTTAGGGAAGGAGAGGATGATATTACTCCACATATCGCAGGGAGTGTTACATCCCCTGTAATATTGTTCATAATATTTAGAAGACGACAGGATGATATTACTCCCAATATAGTAGGAAGTATACACTCCCCTGTGATACTGTTCATAATTTTTAGGGGATTAGAGGATGATATTACTTCCAATATCACAGGGAGTGTACACTGGTGATATTGTTTATAATTTTCAGTGGATTAGAAGATATTATTCCGAATATCACAGGGGTTGTACATCCCCAAGTGATATTGTTAATATTCAGTGGGAAAGAGGATGATATTACTCCCCATATCACGGGGGATGTAAACCCGTTTGTGGTATTGTCACTTACATCTGGGGGGGAGAGGATGATATTACTCTGCATATCATAGAGGGTGCACACGGCTGTAATGTTGTCCATAATAACATCCAGAGGGGAAGAGAATATTATTCCCATGTTTCAGAAGGTGTACACACCCCTGTGATAGTCTCTGTAACATTTAGGGAAGAAGGGGATGATACTACTCCAGATATTGCAGGGGGTGTACACCCCCCTGTGATACTGTTCATAACGTTTAGGGGAAAGAGGATGATATTACTCCCCATATCGAAGGGATTGTACATCTCCCTATATATTGTCCATAACATCCAGGACAGGAGAGGATATTACTACTCCCCATATCACAGGGGGTGGACAACCCCCTCTAAATATGTCTAACATCCAGGCGGGAACAGGAGGATATTTTTCCCCATAACCCAGAGAAAGTAAACCTCCTGCGATATTGTCCATAACATCCAGTGGGGGGAGGATGATATCACTCCCCATATTGCAGGGGGTGCACACTCCACTCTGATATTGGCCGTAATATCCGGGGGGGTGAAGTATGAAGTCACTACACATATCGCAGGGATTATTAGTATCAGATTGTTTGAAGGGCTCACAGTAAGGGTAGTAGTAGGGCGAGTTCTAACTCAAATAGGGGAAATGTGATGGCTACTAGAAAGAATTTTATGGAGAAGGGAATGTGGGCAGAGGATAGAGGGTCAAATCTGCATTCATAAGGGCTAGATTTTTCTATATATATTTATTTTATACATATATATATATTTTTCTCTCTCTCTACATATATATATTAAGTTGTGGGAGCCAAAATGTAATAATTATTAGTAACAGGGCAAATAGGGTGTTGATTACTAGGGTTAATGTTAGGTGAATTACTGTTTTTCGGATGCTATCAAAACTTTGGAAATCATGGTACTATTTATACTAAAAGAGTAAGATCCTCATCAATAAGTAGAAACATACAAGAATAGTCATACTACATCTACAAAGTGTCGATATCAGGCAGCGGCTTCAAAGGCAAAGTGATGACTAGATGTAAAGTGGTATTTTAATTGGCGGAGAAGGCAGACTGAGGAATGTTGACCCAATAATGACGTGAATTCTGTGAAAGCCTGTAGCTATAAAAAATGTTGAGCCATAAATACCATCAGAAATAGCAAAGGGAGCTTTGAAGTATTCTGAGACTTGTAGGAGGGTGAAGTAAATATCTAATATAATTGTAACAGGTAGTGCTTGGATTGTATGTTTTTGATTATTTTTTGTTAGGCTGTGATGGGCTCAAGTAATTGAAACTCCTGATGCAAGTAATACAGATGGATTCAGGAGAGGTACTTCCAGGGGGTCAAGGGGAGAAATACCTGTTGGGGGTCAATGCCCTCCTAATTCTGGAGTAGGGGCTAGGCTAGAATGGTAGAATGCTCAAAAGAATCCAGCGAAGAGGAATATTTCTGAGATAATAAATAGGACTGTCCCATATTGGAGGCCTTTTTGAACAGTTGTTGTATGGTGACCCTGAAATGTACTTTCTCAGATACAGAACACCCTTGGTCAATTGAATACAGATCAATCACTTTAAGTAAGCTAAGTCCTTACTAAATTGATGAGACTTAAACCCATGAAAACTTAACAGCTAAACTCCCTAGTCAACTGGTTTGAATCTACTTCTCCAGCCGCTGGGGGAAAAAGGGTGAGAGAAGCAGGATTGAAGCTGCTTCTTTGAATTTACAATTCAACATGAAAATCACCTTGGGACTGGTAAAAACAGGCGTTGACCTCTGTTTTTAGATGTACAGTCTAATGCCCTACTCAGTCATTTTACCCTTTTTTCTCACTTCATTTATGTTGGCTGACAGTTGACTATTCTCAACCAACCATAAAGATATCGGGACATTATATTTATTATTTGGCACATGAGCAGGGATAGTCAGTACAGCTTTAAGCCTTATTCGAGCTGAACTCTACTAGATGATCAAATTTATGTCATTGTTATAGCCTATGCATTTGTCATAATTTTCTTTATAGTAATACTATAATTGGAGGTCTTGGCAACTGATTAGTCCCCCGATAATTGGCGCCCCCGATATAGCATTTCTCTGCATAAATAATATGAGCTTCTGACTCCTCCCACCCTCCTTCCTATTATTACTTGCATCCACTATAGTAGAAGCCGGCACTGGAACCGGCTGAACAGTCTCTCCTCCCTTAGCAAGAAACCTAACACATGCAGGCGCCTCTGTAGATTTCACTATCTTTTCACTCCACTTGACAGGTGTTTCTTCTACTTGAGGGGCTATTAACTTTATTACCACAATTGTTAATATAAAACCCCCAGCCATGTCCCAATATCACACACCCCTCTTCATCTGATTAGTCCTAATTACAGCAGTTCTTCTACTCCTTTGTCTCCGAGTCCTAGCCGCCAGCATCACTATATTGTTAACTGACTGCAATCTTAATACTATTTTTTTCTACCTGGCTGGCGGAGGTGATCCTGTCTTATTTCAGCATTTATTCAGATTCTTTGGTCACCCTGAAATCTACATCCTCATCCCACTGGGCTTTGGGATAATTTCCCACGTCGTAACATACTATTCTGGAAAAAAAAGAACCATTCAGGTATATGGGCCTAGTGTGAGCTATAGGATCAGTTGGATCCTTACAGTTTATTGTATGGGCCCACCGTATATTTACGGTAGGGATAGATGTGGATACATGAGCCTGCTTCACCTCTGCTATTATAATTATTGCTATTCCTACTAGCGTCAAAGTTTTTAGCTGACTAGCTAGCTACACTTCACGGCGGTAATATCAAATGATCCCCCGCAATGCTGTGAGCCCGGGGATTTATTTTCCTTTTTACAGTAGGAGGCCTAACCAGCATTGTATTGGCTGAGGCTTATATTATGGTTCATTCATACATTTAGAAACCTGAAAGTTTCTAAATAAGTTGTAAAAAAGTTGTAAAAACACCCCAGCTGAAATAACTACGAAGGTGCCTTTAATATTCTGAAGACAAAATAGCTAAGATCCAAACTGGGAGTAGATACCCCGCTATGCTTAACTCTAAACTCGAATAGTTAGATCAACAAAACTGTTGGCCAGAACACTACAAGCAACAGCTTAAAACTCAAAGGACTTGGCGGTGCTTTATAGCCCTCTAAAGGAGCCTGTTCTATAATCGATAAACCGCAATTTACCTCACCACCTCTTACCCAGCCTAAATACCTCCATCTTCAGCAAACGCTGGAAAGGCCGCAGAGTAAGCACAAGTATCTACATAAAAACTTTAGGTCAAGGTGTAGCCCATGAGGTGGCAAGAAATGGGAACGTTTTCTACATCCAGAAAAATGTCGCGACAACCGTTATGAAATCTAAGGGCTCAAGGAGGATTTAGCAATAAATTGAGAGCAGAGTGTTTAATTGAATAAGGCCATGAAGCATGCACACACCGCCCGTCACCCTCCTCAAATATATTCTAGAAATTCATTCTACACACCCCTGTGATATTGTCCATAATATCCAGGGAGGGAGAGAATGATTTGATTTTTTTTTTTTTTTTTGAGACAGAGCCTTGCTCTGTCGCCCGGGTTGGAGTGCAGTGGCCTGATCTTGGCACACTGCAAGCAACGCCTCCCAGGTTCACACCATTCTCCTGCCTCAGCCTCCCTAGTAGCTGGGACTACAGGCGCCCGCCACCGCGCCCGGCTAATTTTTTGTATTTTTAGTAGAGACGGGGTTTCACCATGTTAGCCAGGATGGTCTCGATCTCCTGACCTCGTGATCTGCCCGCCTTGGCTTCCCAAAGTGCTGGGATTACAGGTGTGAGCCACCGCTCCTGGCCAGAGAGAATGATTTTACTCCCCATATCGCAGGGGATTTACATTCCCCTGCATTATTTTTCGTAATATCCAGGGGGAAGATGAAGATGTTACTCCCCATATAGCATGGGAGAACAATTCCCTGTGATATTGTTCATAATATCTCTGGGGGGAAAGAACTATATTTCTCCTTTTATCGCAGGAAGTGTACACCCCCTTGTGATATTGTTTATAATATCTAGTGGGGGAGAGGATGATGCTACTCCCCATATTGCAGGGGGTGTACAACCCCCTAGAATATTGTTCATAATATCCACGTGGGGAGGAGATGATGTTACTACACATATCGCCAGGGTGTACTGCCCCCTGCCATATTGTTTGTAATATCCAGGCTGGGAAAGGATGATATTACTCCCTGTATCACAGGGGATGTACACACCCCTGTGATATTATTAGTAATATCCACGGGGGAGATAATACTACTTCCAATACCATAAACACCCTGTGTGTACACCCTCTGTGATATTTTTTGTAATATCCAGGGTGGGAGAGGAGTATATTACTCCCTATAAGGCAGAGTGTGTATACACCCCTCTGTGATATTGTTCATAATATCCACTGGGGGATATGATATTACTCCCAATATCATAAACACCTCACATGTACACCGTCTGTGATATTATTTGTAATATCCAGTGGGGGAGAGGATGATATTACTTTCCACATCGCAAGGGGTTTACACCCCTCTGTGATACAGTTTGTAATATCTAGAGGGGGAGAGGGTGATATTACTCCTCATATCTCAGGACATGTACACCCCCCTGTGATATTGTTTGTAATATTGTTCCCAATATCCTTTTCCCCCGTGGATATAGGAACAGTATCGCATAGGACGTGTACACCCCCTGCCATATTGGAAGTAGTAGTGTTTTCTCCCTTGCTGGACATTAGGAACAATACCATGGGGGGGTGCACACCCCCTGCGATATTGACAGTAATGTAATCCACTATCCCCTAAATATAGGAACAATATCACAATGGGGATGTACACACTTGGCGATATTGAAAGTGATATGATCCTCTCCCCACCTGGATATTAGGAACAATATCACAGAAGGGGTGTACACCCCCTGCGATGTTGACAGTAATATCCTCTCCCACCCCCGGATATTAGGAGCAATATCACAGAAGGGTTGTACACTCCCTGCGATATTGACAGTAATATCCTCTCCCCCCTGGATATTAGGAACAATATCACAGAAGAGGTGTACACCCACTGTGATATTGACAGTAATTTCCTCTTCCCCCCCCCCGGATATTAGGAACAATACCATGGGGGGTGTACACCCCCTGCAATAATGACAGTAATATCATCCTCTCCTCCCCAGATATTAGTAACAATATCACTGAAGGGGTCTACACCCCCTGTGATAGTGACAGTAATATCCTCTCCCCCCCCCAGATATTAGGAACAATAACACGGGAGGATGTACACCCCCTGTGACATTGACAGTAATATCAACCTCTCCCCCCACCCCGCATATTAGGAAGAATACCACCGGGGGTGCACACCCCCTGTGATATTGAGAGTAATATCACCCACTATCCCCTAAATATTAGGAACAATAACCCAAGGCAGGGAGTACACCCTCTGCGATATTGGGAGTAATGTCATCCTTCCCCTGCCCCTGCATACTAGGAATAATATCACAGGGGATGTACACCCCCATACGCTATTGGGAGAAACATCACTCTTTCTTCCCATGGATATTAGGAACAATATCACAGAAGTGGTGTACACACGCTGCACCGTATAGAATAAAGCAGGCGGAGGAAGATGGGATAACCTTACTAGCTGAAGCTTCTGGCTCTCTTTTTTTCTTCTTCCCGTGCAGGACACTTGCTTCCCTTCTTCCTGCCCTCGGACATGAGACTCCAGGTTCTTACGCCTTTGGACTCTGGGACTTGTACCAGCGGCTTCCCCGAGGCTCTCAGGCCCTCGGCCTCATACTGAAGACTGCACTGCGGGCTTTCCTGGTTTTGAGGCTTTTGGACTTGGACTGAGCCACTACTAGCTTCTCTCTTTCCCTACCTGGCAGACAGCCTATTGTGGGACTGCCTTCTAACCGTGTGAACCAATTCTCTCTCGTAATCTCCCTTATACATATACGTGTATCTTGTTGGTTCTGTCCCTCTGGAGAACCCTGACTCATACATTTTGTTTATTTTTTCTCCATTGCCCTTTCCTCTGCTTCTAGGCTTACCTAGACCACCACCATTCTTTCCCCCTTTCTAAAGTAAAAGTTGTTTTTTTCTCACTAAATGCATGGTATTCTGCCCGTTTTCCATGGCTTCCCTCAGCCCTGCTCTGTTTATTCTTGCTATCTTAAGAGGAAATCCCTGCCTCTTCCGTGGCTTTTCCCACTTGGCCTACATACTGGTTTCTGTTGTTCTCAGAGACACACTGAGACCCTTCACATCTCACTGTCACTTCTTGGAAGGGCTCTCTACCTCGTCTGCCTGCTGAGCAACCTCTTGGGGAGACGCAGGCCCTCTTGAGTCACTGAACTTGAGCTATATGGTGTTGGTATGTTAATTTATCTTCTTAGACCACTTACCACTTCTTTAACTTCAAAAGAGGAGAATAAGTATTATTTTCCATGGTTGATATGAAGAGTAGAAATAACTTATACCAAATGCATTGCAGTTAAGTGATAATAAATGGCCGTGAATGCCCTTATTAATGTTATTCTATCAGTCTCGGCTCAGATAGCATCTGCTCTGTAAGCTCTGCTCTGAATCATATCTGCTTCTTCTCTGGGTTCCTTGTGCTCTGTTCTTAACTACTTTAAAGCAGTAATTGTTCTGATTCTAATTAGTGATCCTTCCCAATAAAATTTTAATTTTGTAGATCTCTTCCCCCTACCCCTGCCGCAGCCTAACCAGTGTTTTCTTACTTTTTTGTGTACAAGCTACATCACTGGTCTTTTATTTGTGGCTAAATAAATGTTGTGTTAGAAGAGTAAAGAGTTCCCAGTTACATGGGATCTATAGTTCTACAAAATGAATGTATACATAATCCATGTAAATATTTCACTTATTTTAAAACAATTTTTTAATTTTTAAATTAAATTTAATTTGTGCATGTGTGTGAGACCAGAGTGAGACCAGAGATTGCGGCGGTGAGGGGCGGTGGTCTCACCATGTTGCCCAGGCTGGTCTTGAACTCCCCTTCAAGTGCCCCCCTCCTCACCTGGCCCCCCTCACCTTGCCTCCTCCCCCTCACTCCTATGCCAGCCCCTGCCATTCCCTACCCCCTCTGTTGACCGCAAGACTCAACAAGTGACTTGCTGAGCAAACCCTGCTGAGAAGAGGTCTGTTTAGGGACACAGGAGGCCAAGTACACAAAAAAGCAAAAGAACTAGCATGCCTTTTTCAATGGATGTCTATTTTACAGGGCTGGCTTCAGATTATTGTTATAGCTTTAAATAAAAGGACCGTTTTGTCATCTCGGCCCATGGCCTACATTATTTCTTTACTGTCCATTGCCCTGGGCGCTTGACTAATAATTTAACAGCAATTTTTTTTTTAAATTTTAAATCATGATTCATTGCATTGCTGTAAGAGTAATTAGAGGTAAATTAGGGCTTGAAACTGCCTGTAGTGGGTTACTTTCTGAGATCTTAGTATAATTATCAGGTGAGAGGGTGAAGTTTTAATCAGCGCTAAGTGGGATAGAAATTCAATGCACTGAAACTGTAGTGTCCAATTCAGTAGGCGCTAGCCACCTGTAACTGTTGAGCACTTGAAATCCTGGCTAGTCCTAATTGAGATGTGTTGTGTTAAATATACTGGATTTTGTCATTGGAGTGGGAAGAACAGCGTAGAATATCTGCTTGATAATTTTTTATATTGATTACATGTTAAAATTATTACTATGATTACTATTTGGGACATACTGAGTTAAGTATATTTAAAATTAATTTCACCTTTTAATGGGGCTTACTAGTACATTTAAAATTACATATGTGGCTCACATATTTATTGGACAGCACGGCTCTAGAAGTTTAGGAAGAAATAAGAAAAATATTGAGAATAGGTAGCAACAGTAGGAAGTTTGACCTCCTGTAAGACTGATTCCAATAAAACTAATAGGTGATAGTTTTAATTGGCTTTTTCCTACTAGAAAAAGTAAGTGTACTTTACGTGTCTCTTTGTTCTCCCTCTTTCCCCTTCAATTTAGTGGTTAGCGTGTATTTACTATATCAGGCTTAAAATTCACTAAGCAGTGTTAAGAAGACTTAGGTAAATGATTCCCTGATGAACACACTTGATTTTCAAAGCACCTTCCTAACCCATTTTTAATTGGAATAGAGTCAAAGGTAGATGGCTTATTAGTAGTCATCTCATTTAAACCTCATGGAATTTTCCTGTTAAATCTCAAAGTAAACAATTTGTTATAGGCTGTTTTGTCAAGTGCATGGAAGGGACAGCATAAGACATGTGGTACTTCATTTCAAAATTGCTTGAGATGGTTTTCATTATAATCATACATTATTTGCTTCTGGTTTTCCAGAAAAGCCAGCTAAACCTGTGGTTCATTTAGATATAAATGAAATATCCTCAAAGGATTGCTCAAAGTGACTTATGCAACTTGAATATATATTTTTTTCTGTAGGGTGTTTATTCCAAATTATCTGGCCATTTGTGGCAATTTGCAGTTTTTTAGAAAACACCAAATATTTTTCAAGTTAGAGATGTTTTAATAAAAACAGTCATATTGAACTGGAAGCAGCCAAATAAAATGGCCCTTTATTTCACAGTTGAGAATTTGAAATTGGAAGGTAATTAACATATGTAAGGATGATGTATTTGCTGCCTGGCTTATAGGAAGGAGCCAAGGTGTTTTTTGAGGGATGTTGTTGCTGTGTATGTCCCACCTATTTTGCTTCCTTAATGAACAATGCAAGTTTGAGACAGAAATATTTGAGAACATTTTTATCAGTTGCGACATTTTGATAGTGAACATTTTATATCTTCTGTCAACTTAAAATGTTTGCATCTTCTGTCTGCTTAAAATGTTTAATTTGTTATAGCCAAATAATTTGGCTATAATTGAGAATTTAATTTATCAAATTAAATTGCTTTTTTTCCCTTTAGACTTTCTTCAGTCACATCTGAATAAATCACTTAGAAGTAAGCTAGATGTAATATAATGAAATGCTTAAAAGGGCTGTGTATCTTCATATTACACTTACAGTGATTTTCTGTTGTACCCATTATATTCTACCTGCAGCTAGTTGAGGTAAAGAGAGGGCATTTAACTGTCAAGGGAACCTGTGAGGAGACTGTAGAAATCTGGAAAGTCTCTTGAGTCTTTGAGGGATTTTGGGATGCAGAGAGTGGGGCTGGGATCTCTGGCTAGGTTGGAGCCAGCCTGCATTTGTATCTTTATCTTGGAAGCAAACATAGAATGCAGAGATAGATGTGGCCTGGATGCTGCTAACTCTAGCCAACCACTAAATCTTAAGGTGGGAGAGATGCAGGCTTTGGCTGTGTGCTAAGCTGCTGTAGCTGGTTGAATGTAGAGGTCACTATCTTTTCTGAATACTTGTAAGTAAATTAAATCATTCTCTACTCCTGTATGCCTGCCAACCAAATGGGAAATCGCTATAGAAAAGATGGTTTAAATTTTAGTCTTTGAAGTGGTTAATGCACGTTTCTGGAATCAAGATTTAATGTGGACTTGGATTGGATATTGAATATTTTTGATTTGTCTACTTTTCTCTCCATAGGGAGCTTATAGCTTCATTGCACTGTGTGTGGCATTTGGGTCCTGTTTGGCAGCAATGACTGCCTTTCTGTTTAGTGTCTGTGTGCTATGAAGATTGCACACAGGAGTCCAGATGCATCCTGTTTTGAGAATGTTAATGGATACACCAGCTGCTGCTTTGGATTTCACCCATTGGCGCTTTCTATAAAAACTTTAGACACAGTGAGCCACTCTTCTCAGGGAATGGTGGAAACCCTCCTAATTCCAATTTCCTAAACACCACCCAAGGGCCAGCCTTGCATGCAGGCCTTTCTAAGGATGGCAGTCTCTTGCCTGTTACATGAAATCTTTTCTGCACACTTTGTATAGCCCCACCTTAATTTTTGGTGTTGTTTTAAAATTTCATTTTAATAACATAATATTATAAGATAAGGTAACTTGGTACTAATTTCTGTTGTATGATCCATCTTAAGTTGCAGCGCTGGTTACTTTTTTGACTTTCGATGACGAACAGCTATTTGTACATAAGTTACCATAGCAATGTTAGGTAATTATAATCTGTCCTATTTATCTCATTTACCTTTCAGTAAAATTGTTAAATAAGCAAAATAATTTGAGTTAAAATTAGAATAAAAATTGTCTTTTATTTGGATTACATGAATAATCTAGTTTTCATATTGTGCTAAAGCCCTGCTTAGAATTATGAAATAAGATAAAATATTCAATCATTTTTATCAATATTTTCTTACCTAAGCATGCAATTAAATTTATTTATTTTATATATTTTATATACTTCAATTTGAGAAATAATGACCACATGTTGTTACTTTGGTCTTCAATGATCTCTAATTTTTAGGGTCACCGTGTCTTGCTTAAATATATCATAGTAACAGGTTCAGTGACTATCTTTATTTTTAATTTTATTTACTTATTTTTTTTTTTGAGACAGAGTTTTGCTCTTGTTGACCAGGCTGCAGTGCAATGACACAATCTTGGATCATTGCAACCTCCACATCCCAGGTTCAAATGATTCTCCTGCCTCAGCCTCCCAGGTACCTGGAACTACAGGCATGCACCATCATGCCCGGCTAATTTTTTATATTCAGTAGAGATGAGGTTTTACCATGTTAGTCAGGCTGGTCTCGAACTCCTGACCTCAGGTGATCCACCCACCTCAGCCTCTCAAAGTGCTGGGATTACAGACATGAGCCACTGCCCCCAGCCATCTTTTTTATTTATTTATTTTAATTGTTGTTCTGGAGATCCTGGGATGCATAGACAGTGAATATCTTTTTTGTTTTTTGAGACAGAATCTCACTCTGTCTCCCAGGCTGCAGTGCAGTGGTGCGATCTTGGTTAACTGCAACCTCTGCTTTCTAGGCTCAAGCGATTCTCCTGCCTCAGCCTCCCAGGTAGCTGAAATTACAGGTGCCAGCTACCATGCCCAGCTAATTTTTGTATTTTTATTAGAGATGAGGTTTTGCCATGTTGGCCAGGCTGGTCTTGAACTCCTGACCTCAGGTGATCCACCCACCTTTGCCTCCCAAAGTGCTGAGATTACAGGCATGAGCCACTGAGCCCAGCTGAATATTTTTTTTTAAATCAATAACCTTATTTCTTAGAGTAGTTTTAGGTTCACAGCAAAATTGAGAGGAAGGTACAGAGATTTCTCATATATCCCATGCCTCCCACACACGCATAGCCTCCCCCATTATTAGTATTTTCCACCAGAGAGTGGTCCATTTGTTACAACTGATGAACTTACATTGACACATTATAATCACTTGAAGTTCATAGTTTACATCAGGCCTCACTCTAGATGCTGTACATTCTGTGAATTTGGACAAATGTATAATGACATGACATGTATCTATTACTGTAATATTATCGACAGAACAGTTTCACCGCCCTAAAAATTCTCTGTGCTATGCCTGTTCATCTCTCCCTTTCTCCCTAGCAACTCGTGACAACCATTGATGTTTACTCTGTCTTCATAGTTTTACTTTTTTCAGAAGAGTCATACAGTTGGAATAAGAAGAGTGGATATCTTTTTGAGTAGTTAAAAAATTAAAGCTCCATGGCAGTTGAATGTAGTCATTTAAGATGTTCTTTGTCCTTTTGTTTTTCTTTTGCTTCTTTATCATTGTAAAGAATGATGTATTCTGATGAGATATGATTTACATACTTAGAAAACATGATTTGTATAGATATGTGGCACATAATAGAAAGGGTTGAGGAAAAGGACACCACGCCGTACTACACAGCACAACCTGGAGCATCTTGCTCTGTGAGGTGGGTCCAGATAGACTCTTTAGCAATGGAAGGGGACAAGTGCAAAGGGTTGTGCTTTATAAAACTGGAATCACAAAGTCTTTCATACTTACCTTCGGTTGGAAATAAGACCAGGCAGTGAATGCTATTAGGTAAATACATAAGTTCCTCACTTATGAGGAACTTCCTTTGAGGGATGAGGTTGACAACAGCCTGTATTATGATGACATGACTCACCTACAACTAGATTCTGTCATGAGAGATGACAAGGGAGTTTTGCTTTATGCGAGGTGAAAAAAATTTTTTCACCTCGAGGCAGGTGGATCATCTGAGGTCAGGAGCTCGAGACCAGCCTGGCCAACATGATGAAATCCTGTCTCTACTAAAAAAATACAATAATTAGCCGGGCATGGGGGCGCAAGCCTGTGATCCCAGCTACTCAGGAGGCTGAGGCAGGAGAATTGTTTGAACCCGGGAGGCGGAGGTTGCAGCTAGCTGAGATCGTGTCACTGCACTCCAGCCTGGGCAACAAAAGTAAAACCTCCGTAACACACACACACACACACACACACACACACACACACACACACACACAAAGGTATATATTAAATATGTGTAATTTTTGTATGTCAACCACACCTTAGTTTTATTTTGTTTTTTTTTTTTTTTTTGAGACAGAGTCTCGCTCTGTCACCGAGGCTGGAGTCCAGTGGCGCAATCTCGGCTCACTGCAAGCTCCACCTCCCAGGTGCACACCATTCTCCTGCCTCAACCTCCGGAGTAGCTGGAACTACAGGCACCCGCCACCACGCCCAGCTAATTTTTTGTATTTTTAGTAGAGATGGCGTTTCACCGTGTTAGCCGGGATGGTATCGATCTCCTGACGTGATCTGCCTGCCTCAGCTTCCCAAAGTGCTGCGATTATAGTTGTGAGCCACCGCGCCCAGACAATTTTTATTTTTTTGAGACAGAGTCTCACTCTGTCACCCAGACTGGAGTGCAGTGGCACTATCTTGGCTCACTGCAACCTCTACCTCCCATGTTCAAGCAATTCTCCTGCCTCAGTCTCCCGAGTAGCTGGGAATACAGATGCATGCTATCATGCCTGGCTAATTTTTTGATTTTTAATAGAGATGAGGTTTCACCATGTTGGCCAGGCTGGTCTCAAACTCCTGACCTCATGTGATCTGCCCACCTCAGCCTCCCAAAGTGCTGGGATTACAGGTGTAAGCCACTGCACCCGGCAATTTTTAAATATATATAATTAAAAATTAATAAAAAACAGGTATTTGCAAGTTTCCGTTTTGTTATATGCTTATTATTCTTTATCTTTATGTCAGGTTGCTGTGTCAATACACTTAGGAGATCATAGTTTCTAAATTGAAATACAAATATGTCTGAAATTTTTCTTTTTTCTTTTTTTTTGAGACGGACTCTCATTCTGTCACCCAGGCTGGAGTGCAGTGGTGCAATCTCAGCTCACTGCAACCTCCGCCTCCCAGATTCAGGTGATTCTCCTGCCTCAGCCTCCAGAGTAGCTGGGATTACAGGCACCCACCACAACACCCAGCTAACTTTTATATATTTTTTTTCTATTTTTAGTAAAGACAGGGTTTCACCATGTTGGCCAGGCTGGTCTCCAACTCCTGACCTCAGATGATCCTCCCGCCTCGGCCTCCTCAAGTGCTGGGATTACAGGTGTGAGACACTGTGCCTGGCCTGGAATTTTTTTCTAAAATTTACATTTCTGAGTTAAGAATGCTTAAAATATTATAAAAACAGAAGCACAATTCATTATGGGTTTCATTAATTACCTTTATTAAAAACAACACAATTATATTGCAATAGGACAAAAAATGTTTAAGCAAATGAAAACCATGACATACCCAAACTCAGGAGGAGGCAACAAAGGCAGTGCTAAAGGGAAGCTTACAGCTGCAGATGCTTAAATTAAAAATAAGAAAGATCTCAAACCCATGCTAAAGGGAAGCTTATAGCTGCAGGTGCTTAAATTAAAAAGAAGAAAGATCTCAAATCAATAACCTAACATTACACCTGAAGGGGGGGAAAAAAAAAAAAACTAATGACAAACCAAGCAAAAGGAAGAAAATAACAGATTAGAGCAGAGATAAGCAGAATAAGACCAGAAAAAAGGAAAAAAAACACTGAGTTTGTTTTTTTAAAGATCAATAAAAATTTTAAAACTCACAGCTATATTAAGAAAAAAAGAGAAATCTCAAATGCTAAAATCTTAAATAAAAGAGGTGACAGTACAACAGATGTCACAAAAATGAAAAAGATTACAAGAGACTAATGTGAGCAACCATATGCCACAAAACTGGGCAACCTAGAATAAATTTATAAATTCCTAGAAACACAAAACGCCATACTGCATCAGGGAGAAATAAAAAATCCAAAGAGACCTGTAACTAGTAAGAAGATTCAACCAGTAATCAAAAACCCCCCAAAAAAGAAAATTCCAGGTCCAGATAACTTCACTGGAAAAATTTACCAAACATTTCAAGAAGAATTAATGCCAATCCTCTGCAAAATATTCCAAAAATGTTCAAAAACCAGAAGGGGACATTCCAATCCATTCTATCAGGTCAACGTTTATCTGGTTCCAGAGCCAGATGAACACCTTTTGTAATAAAAACACTCAAAGAATTAGTAATATATGGAAACTCCTCAATAAATAAAGATTATACATGAAAGGCTCACAGCTAACATCCTACTCAATGGTGAAAAACTAAAATCTTTTCCTCTAGGATCAGGAATAAGATAGCAACATCTCTTCCTGCCACTTCTATTCATCACAGTACTGGAATTTCTACTCAGAATAATTAGGCAAGAGAAAGTAATAAAAAGGATGCAAATTGGAAAGGAAAAAGTACAAAATTTTGTTCACAGACAACAGGATGTAATGTGTAAAAATCCTGAAATTCCACAAAATACTGGTAGAATAATGAAATTCAACAAAGTTTCAGGATACAGTAACACACACAAGTCAGTTGCATTTCTATAAACTAACAATGAACAATCTGCAAATAAAATTTTAAAAAGAGACCAGGTGCAGTGGCTCACACTTGTAATCCCAGCACTTTGGGAGGCCAAGGTGGGTGGACCACCTGAGGTCAGGAGTTCGTGACCAGCTGGGCCAACCTCATCTCTAATATAAATAGTAAAACTCTATCTCTATTAAAAATACAAAAATTAGCTGGGTGTAGTGGCAGACACCTGTAGTCACAGCTACTTGGGAGGCTGAGGCAGGAGAATTGCTTGAACTTGGAAGATGGAGGTTGCAGTCAGCTGAGATTGTGCCACTGCACTCCAGCTTAGGAAACAGAGTGAGATGCGGTCTCAAAAAAAAAGAAAGAAAGGAAAGAAAGAGAGAGGAAGAAAAGAAAAGAAAAGAGAAAACAAAAGAAAAGAAATTTTTAAAAAGAATGATATTTGGCCAGGTGCGGTGGTTCATGCCTGCAGTCCCAGCAGTTTGGGAGGCCAAAGTGGGCAGATCACCTGAGGTCACAAGTTCAAGACTAGCCTGGTCAACATGGAGAAACCCTGTCTCTACTAAAAATATCAAAAAATTAGCTGGGCATGGTGGCGCGCACCTGTGATCCCAGGTACTTGAGAGGCTGAGGTTGGAGAATCGCTTGAATAGGGAAGGTGCAGGTTGCAGTGACCTGAGATAGTGCCACTGCACTCCAGCCTGGGAGACAGAGCAAGACTCCATCTCAAAAAAAAAAAAAAGAATTACATTTACAACAACATTATGAAAATTAGAAATAAGCTTAACCAAGAGGGCAAAAGATTTGAACACAGAAAACTACAAAACACTGTTAAAAGAAATTAAACACAAATAAATGAAAAGAAAAGCTGGGTTTACAGATTAAATGATTTCATCTTGGAATGATGTCAACACTACTCGAAGTGACCTAGATTCAATACAATCCTTATAAAGATTCCAATGACATTTTTGATAAACAGAAAATCCTATCCTAAAATTCATATGGAATCTATGGGGCCCATGAATAGGCAAATCAATCTTGAAACAGAACAAAATTAAAGGTCTCAAAACAATTACAAAACTGCAATAAGCCAAAAAAAAATATGTGGTCATGGCAAAAAGACACTCTTGACACACTTATGGACCAACACAACGGAGACCTCAGAAACCAACCCTGGCATATATGGTCCAATGATCTTCCACAAGGATGCCAAGACCACTCAATGGCGAAGGACACTTTCTTCAACAAATGGTGTTGGGAAAATTGTATATCTACATGCAAAACAATGAAGTTGGACGCTTACCTTACACCATGTTAAAATTAATTCAAAGTGAATTATAAACCTAAATGTAAAACTAGAACTATCAAACTCCTAGGGAAAACAAATTTGGAAAATGCCTTATGACGTTGAATTTGTCAATAATTTTTAGGATATGACATTAAAATCTCAGGCAGTAAAAGCAAAAATATATCAAACCTAAAAACTTCTGTTCCTCAAAGGTCACAACCAACAGGGTAAAAGGCAAACTGTAGAATAAATAAAATACCAGTTGAGTGTCCCTTATTTGAAATGCTTGGGATGTATTTCAGATTTTGTAATATTTGCATTATTCTTACTGGTTTAGCATCTCGAATTCAAACACCCGAGTCTGAGATGCTCCAATAAGCATTTCCTTTGAGTGTCATGTTGGCACTCAAAAAGTTTCAGACTTTGGAGCATTTGGGATTTCAGATTTTTGGATCAGAGACATTCAACCTATAGTAGCTCATCATGTATCTCATAAGAAGTGAACATTCAGAATACGTAAAGTACTCCTACAGAGAGACTACCAGAAGCAGAGAGGAGCAAACACATTTTCACACTAGGGCACCTCCTATCTCTCCTGGATTCTAATTAGGGCAGAGTAAGTGCTAGTTCTCTGCCAACCCAGGATTAGGCCCTGCAGCTGCAGTGAAAATAATCACAGAAGAAAACTAAGAAATAAAAAATGGAGAAAGTGAGACATCAAACTAGAATTACTAGAAACCCCCAGGAAGAAGGAAAAAAAAAAAACCCAGGAAAACAGAAAAACAATCAAACGAGTTAATTAAACCTTGTGGTGCGACCCGAAGATCAGGGTTTCCTAAAGGAGTGGAAATTTATTGACTTGAAGAGTATTTATTGATTACTGATTTGAAGAGGAAGAAAAACCATGAATGGTCTAAAGCAAAAGCCTAGTGTCTGAAGAAGTCAGTAGGGTGAAAACAAGAGCTGGCCAGAATGTCCACAGATGGTGACAAGTTTGCAAAGCCTTTACTAGACTACTTGTGAGGTTAACTAGAGGCCAAGGAGCCAATACTGCCCCTGTCCTTACAGAGAGACCCTACACAGGATTCCCAGATATACATGGAAGGACAACATCTTATCAGGTCCTCTCTGTGCAGATGTGGTTATCATTCCAAATAATGAGCTCCAGCCCCAAGACCGTTCTATCCTCAATTGCTTTGAGTGGGCAATGTAGGCTCTCCACACACGAGCTACATGTAGGTTCCTTGGGTACCCAGATGGGAGCCGTGAAACACAAACCCTCCATGGTCAGGTCTGTATCTGTTTCCTGCCTTTTTCCCAGCAATCCCCAGGCCTCAGCAGCAGTGGTCTACGTCTGCTGATTCTCATTCAGAATCTAAACTTAGAAACAATTATAACCTAGACCCCAATTCACCTGAAAGTAACAGAATAACATAATCTATACCCTGCAGCATGACTGTTTGCCCAACGTAATGAGGATGAACTGAGAGATAATGAATGATCATGACCCTGGCCCAAGTAACAAGAATGAACTGTGAAATAAATGAATGGTCATGACCAAAAAACCCCGCTACAACACAACAACAAAATAAAGTGATTAAAAAATGGACAAAGAACATTTATCCAAAGATGCAAAGATGATATACAAATAGCCAACAGATACATGAGATATATGAGAAGATGTGTAACATCACTAGTCATTAGAGAAATGCAAATAGAAACCACAATGGGACATCACTTCAAACCCAACAGAAAGTAACAAGTGCAGGTGAAACTGAAACTCTTGAACACTGTTGGTGGAAATATGAACTGGCTCCTCAAAAAAAATAAAATAAAATGACCATATGATCCAGCCATCCAACTTCTACAGAGACAAAATAACTAGTAGCAGGACCTCAAACCGATATGTGCACACCTATGTGTTCACAGGAGCATTACACAGCCACAAGGTGGAAGAAACCAAAACGTCCATCCGGGAATAGATGGATAAACAAAAGGAGATATATATATAGATAGAGGAAAAAAAATATATATATATATGAAGAAATATTATTCAGCCATAGAAAGGAAGAAAATCCTGACACATCTGACACATAACATGGAACCTACTTACAAAACAACAAATATTATATAACCCTAGGTATATTAGCCAAATTTTTAGAAACACAAAGTAGAATAGTACTTGCCAGGAGGTGGAAGGAAGGGGAAATAAATAGTTGTTGAATGGGTATAGAGTTTTCCAAGATAAAAAAAAAAAATCTAGAAATCTGCTACACAACACTGCAAATATTCTTAACTCTACAAAACTCTATACTTACAACTGGTTATGATGGTAAATTTTAAGGTATGTGTTTGTTACCAAAATTCGAAATAATAAATTATTTATAAAAAATGATCTTTTTGACACAGGTTCTTACTCTGTTGCCCTGGCAGGAGTGCAATGGCATGATCACAGCTCATTGCAGCCTCAACCTCCCAGGCTCAAGCAATCCTCCCACCTCAGCCTCCCGAATAGTTGGGACTACAGGTGCACATCAAGATGTCAGTCTAAATTTTGGTTTGGTTTTTTTGTAGAGAGGGTTTTGCCATGTTGCCCAGGCTGGTCTCAAACTCCTGGGCTCAAGCAATCCACCTCCCTTGGACTCCCACAGAGCTGAGATTATGAGCATAAGCCAACATGCCCAGCCTATAAAAAATTATTTCAAAAAGCCAAAAGATTAATCAAACTGGAATATTTAGAAATATTTAACCCAAAAGAAGTTAGGAAAGAATATATAGAAGATCAAAAGACAGATGAAGGCCAGACATGGTGGCTCATGCCTGTAATCTGAACACTTTGGGAGGCCAAGGTTGGTAGATTGCTTGAGCTCAGGAGTTCAAGACCAGCCTGTGCAACATGGCAAAACCCTATCTCTACAAAAAATATAAAAATTAACCAGGTGTGGTGCCATGCACGTGTAGTCCCAGCTACTCAGGGGGCTCAAGTGAGGATTGGTTGGGCCTGGGAGGCAGAGTTTGCAGTGAGCCAAGATTGCACCACTGCACTACAGTCTGGGTGACAGAGCAAGACCCTGTCTTAAAAAAAAATAAAAAAATAGAAAATAAGTAGAAAAATGGCAGACCTAAATCCAACCTTAGCAATGATTAGTTACAATGTAACTGGACAAATACTCTACTTAAGACAGAGACTGCCAGACCTGAGAGGAAGGCAAGACCCAAAAATATGGCATCCACAGAGACACAATTTAAACACAAAGATACAAAGTATGAGAAAAAATATGCTATGCAGACACTAATCGTAAAAATATGCTATTCAGACACTAATCATAAAAAGCTCCAACAGAGATGTTAACACTAGATGAAAGAGGCTTCAGAACAAAATATATCACCAGAAATAAACAGGGTAATTTAATAAAAATAAAAGAATCAGAGACGATGATGTTACAATTATAAATTGTGCCTCAAAGTGCACACAAAGTACACACACACACACACAGAGCCTCAACGTATGTGAATCAAAAACAACAGAACAAAAGCAGGAAATTGACAATCCAAAATTATAGCTGGTGAATTAATACTGCTCTCTCAGTAACTGATGGAACAACCAGATAAAAATATAGGAAAAATACGGATCTAAATGACAAAATCCTGACCCAAATGGTACTTGGCAGTACCAAGATAGACTCTATGTCGATCGATTGAGAAAAGGTTCAAGCCTGAAATAGTATACAAAGTATGTTGTCTGAACACTTGAAATTAAATTAGAAACCAACAACAAATTGATATCCAGAAAAGCCTCAAATGTCTGAAAACCAAGTAATAAACTTTGAAATACCCTGTGAGTCAAAAAAGTATTCACAAGGGGAACTGGAATGTATTTGGAACAAACTTGTTATAAAAATCTCATTTCTGGTAGACTAAAGGTGACAAATTCTTTCCTGCTCCTGTCTCTGTGAGAACCAATTCCCCTTAAACCTTGCCCAGACTACTGACTTGTTTGGCCAACAGAAGGTGACAAAGGTGGTATTTGGGGACTTCAGAAGCCAGGCTGAGAAAACAGAACACTTATCCAGGAGAAAGCCAGTCACCAGGCAGGAAATCCCACTCCCCTGAGACCTCATGATAGAAACCACATGGCCAGTCCATGACTAGCTACACGCATTGACATCCCCCACTGAGCCTCCAGCAACACCGACTCCCAACAACTAGTGAGCCTCCAGCAACATCCACTCCCAACCACTAGTGGGCCACCCTGCACACCACCCCACTGTGCTTTCACACAATCCAGCTTGGCTGCAAATGTGTGTGAGATGAGCTGGCCACCAAGACTCTCTAAGCCAAACAACAAGTAATAATGAGTTGTTTTAAGCTGCCAACTTTTGGGGATGGTTTCTTCAGAATAGATAACTGGAACAGAATATGGCAGCTGGAAATGAGCTGCTGTGGTAATCAGAAGCTACAATATGTGCCACGACTGTGAGGCTGACCTGTAACTGGGCCTCAAGGAGACCATTCATGCAACCTGGAAGGGCATCAAGACTCTTGGTCAGGGCCTGAAGGACGGTGAGAAAATGTCATTGGAAACTGGAGAAAAGGCCTGAGAGTTACGTGTTGAGGGACTGTGGGAAAACTACGACCACAACATGGAAACTGAAAGGGCACTGCATCATCTCAGGGATCTGCCTAAGGAGACATCTGGGAAGAACATGGAAAGTGCTACCAGCCTCCCCTAACTGTCACTGAATAAATATGACAGGAGAGGGACATGATCTAAAGAAGGAGGTTCAGTTTTCAAACAGAATTTAGAGAAAATATAAAGAAATAATTTCTTGTCTCAAAAGGCCAAAGTAAAAAAAAAAAAAAAAAAGAAAAGAAAAGGAAAAAAAAATGAAAAAGAAGCCATTGAATACCCTATTGACCATAAGAAAAAGGCAGGGAAAGTTGGTCAACAGCAACCCAGGCACTGAAGGAAAAAGAACATGGAGAATGACAAAAGCCCAGAGGGAGGAGTAAAAGGACACAAACACCATTCTCAGGGACGGGGACTGGGCGCCGTTCTCAGGGACCAGGACTGGGCACTAATCACAGAACTGTAACAGGCGCCCCATGGGAATGACCAACTGTTAAACGGGGCCTTCAGGGCAGCACCTCCCTCCTGCCTCCCACCAACAGCTTCTAAAGGGAAATGTCGACTGTTTTCACAGCAGTCCCCTCACTGTGGCTGGGTGTGTCGGGCGCAGATGACAGGCCACCACAACCTGATTCAGTCCCCACTGTGGCTGTGTGTGGGGGGTCAGATGACAGGCTACCACAACCTGATTCAGTCCCCACTGTGGCTGTGTGTCGGGGGTCAAATGACAGGCCACCACAACCTGATTCAGTCCTCACTGTGTCTGTGTGTTGGGTGCAGATGACAGGCCACCACAACCTGATTCAGGATTCAGTTGGGCTACCAGCCAGTGCCATAAGGAAAACCATTCTGGGGCTCTTGAGAGGGGCAAAGCATAATTTCCATGTGGGAGAAACGTTAATAGTTTGTGGCCAGAGGACAAGCTGTGGTTTATGAAAGACTGCTGCAGGTTCCTACTATGCTTCTCATCAAGAGGTGGAATCTAATCACCTTCCCACCTTGAATCATGGCTGATCTCAGTGATGAGTACGACTGGACAGTGTGGCAGGAGAGATGCTCTGGGACTTCTGAGGGATGATCATGAGAGACCTTACAGCTTCTGCCTGGGCCTCTTGGACACACACCCTGGGAGAAGCCAGACAAACCTGACTACCTTACTGCCAGACTGGGAGGAAGTCCGTGCTGGCCACAAAGAGAGGGCTGGGTGCCTGCTCCATGTCCCCAGCCACTAGAGTCCTTCTGGGTGCCTGCTTCACGTCCCCAGCCACTAGAGTCCTTACAGATGAGACCAGGGAGATCATGAAGCAACAAACCCACACCACCCTGTCCAGTGTCTTGACCAAGAAAATTGTGACATGTAAAAAGAATAAATTCCTGGTTTAAGCCAGTAAGTTTACTGGTACATTGTTACATCTCAGATAATTAAAACCTTGAAAAACTCATGAGAGATCACAAGTAGAACCTTGATCTGAAACATGGCATGTGGCGATTTATATTGAGTATTAGGTTAAAAATGCAAGAAAGGAGCATAGTTAATATTTTACGTTAAAGCTAAAACTATAATTGCCTACTTAACATTTTCAGTAATTAGGTTGTCACTTTTTGTTCTTAACCAAGAAATCAATTAGTTTTAGTCCATAAACAGTTAGAACTGATATACACATCCGTTTTTCCTTACTCATTTTAAACAGCTATCTGAAATAGGAAGCGTAATATAATCTTTAAAGAATCTGAAAACATGACAGAAATGTTTAAACTATAAAAACATATTGTATATGTTAGCATATTGTATACATTGCATATTAACATAAGCTAGAATCATTGACATAAATTTATATAGACAAAAGGTAGAAAATATGACAATGTTCTTCTTGTTTTTTGTCTTTGCATATTTCTTTATTGGCGCTTGTCAAACGTGACCCACTAACTCCTGAATGCTTTCTCTCTCCCCATGGATTCCTAAGGATGTCACCACAGTTTTGGCCAGATGTACAGGTCACAGGGGACTGAATCTCATCACCCCACAAACATACCATTCAGGTTTTGCCAAGAATGACACTGTAAATATAACAAAGCTTTCGTGCTTGTTAGTGAACACCAACTCAGCTCCTCTCCTGTATTCAGAAATCAGGATGAGATGAAAACAACGAGCAGGCCAGGCACGGTGGCTCACGCCTGTAATCCCAGCACTTTGGGAGGCTGAGGCGGGTGGATCACCTGAGGTCAGGAGTTCGAGACCACCCTGATCAAAACATAGAAACCCCATCTCTACTAAAAATACAATATTAGCCGGGCGTGGTGGCAAATGCCTGTAATACCAGCTACTCAGGAGCTGAGGCAGGAGAATTGCTTGAACCCGGGAGGTGGAGGCTGCAGTGAGCCGAGATCACACCACTGTGCTCTAGCCTGGGCAACAAGAGCGAAACTCTGTCTCAAAAGAAAAAAGAATAAAAATAAAAGAACAAGGAAACAAAAGTAACAAAGCTTGACACCAGATGAGCCTGAATCTAACCAAGAAAAGCCCAGAAGAAATCCCATTTTGGGTCACTGGCTGCATGGTAGTAATACCATATACATAAGGGAAGAGAGGAGGATGTGGCTTTCACTTTGAAATTTTTGAGCTTAAGGTAACTTTTGTGTAGCTACAAAGAAGCATTCAACAGAGAGTTAAACTTATGATGGAAAGACTGAAGGGGTCCAAGCTGTAGAGAAACAGGACTGCAAACCACAAAGGGCTGAATCAGTCAAGGAGAACTGCAGGGCGGGATGAACAGGGACCAACGGAACATTTGGATAAGCTGTTGAGAAGAAAGGAGAATTCAGAGAAAAAGAACTGTCAGTGAGGTCATAATAGGAACTGTTACAGTGAACTAAATATGGCCTGGGAAGGACTCTGTACTTCTAGATTTGAGTCCCTGTGGACAAACTGCAACCTCACTTAATAGGTAGAAAGACTGAAAACCTAACTTAGGAGTATGCGCCTGTAACTATAGCTGAGTCCTGACCAATCCCAACAGCCAAACTTCTGCCACTCACACACTGCTGAGTGTTCAGCTGTGTTCAAATAAGGCAAATGCTGAGCACTGTAACCAGTCCAGTTGTTTCTGGACCTCACTGCTGAGAACTGTAACAGGCTCAGGTGCTTCTGGACCTCACTCCTCACTTCAGACTTCTGTACATCACGTTCCCTTTATTGTCTATAAATCTTCCACCATGTAGCTGTGCTGGAGTCTCACCGAATCTGCTGTGATTCTGGGGGCTGCCTGATTCGTGAATCATTCATTGCTCAATTAAGTTCCTTTAAATTTAATTCAGCTGAAGATTTTCTTTTAATAGATGGTATCAGAAGTGGGATCTGTGGTAGCAGGACTGCTAGGGCCTCCGGAGTTATAGTGTGGTGAGCAGTGTTGCTAGGGCTTCTAATGACCCCCAGGAGTGCTGAGGTACAAGAAAGGCACCTGCAAGGACTGCTCTGTGATGGCAGCAGTGGCCCACGTGGAGAAGTTGCTACGGAGACACTGGCTGCTGTGGGGAGGAGTGGCTGGGGCTGTGCGCTCCTCGAAGCTGGTGGGAGCCAGGAACGGGGGGGAGCCCCACCCCTTCTAAATTGGTAGGCAGGAGCCCCGCCCTCCCAGGCACAGCTGCAGCCATCCAGCCATGACTGCAAACCCGGGCATCTTTGCACTCTCAGAGGCCCAGCAAGCCCCCCTGCCCCCGCAGGCTCAGTTGTACCTGGTCCCACCACCTGGCGTCTCCACTCCCAGAGCCCACTCCAACTTCAGATCCAAGTTGAGGCTGAACCCGGGTACAGTCGCAACCCAGCCCAGTTTGTGCAAGCTCAGGGCAGTGCTGACATGCCAGCCCCCTGCCACCTCAGCCCCCTCCAGACTTTGGGCACTGACGAGCACAGGAGGGAGGTTGAGGTGGGGCTAAGAGTGGCTCAGCACTGGCCTGAAGGCACTCCTCAGCTCGAACAGCCTGGGCATCGTGTGCACAGCTAACCACCGTGCGTCTCTCTCAGCTGCTGAGAGCTGAACAGATGTTGGGATGACCTGCCTGCAGAAAGGAGCTACCCACTGCAGGTCTCCTCTGAGCTGTACTGTTGCTCAATAAAGCACCTCTTCACCTTGCTCACCTTCTACTTGCCCACATACCTCATTCTTCCTGGACTCAGGACAAGAACTCGGGACCTGCCAACTAGCAGGGCTGAAAGAGTTGCAACATAAACAGGGCTGAAACGCACCCCTTGCTTGCCAAATTGCAGGCAAGAAGAAGAGAAGAGAGAAGGAGAGAAGAGCTGTGGCCCTTCAGGGAGCCCAGACCTAGGAGCTCCCCAAGCCAGGGCTGTGACACCTTCTTTGGGGCTCTGCAGTTCCTACATCTCTAAGCTTCTGGGCACCACTGCATTCCCTGATACCCACAGTGGAAGCTGTTTGCAGTCGGCCTGGTCCAGCTGCAGCCTCACAGGGAGCTGGCACCTGTGCCGGTGCCTGGAGCTGCCCACACCACTGCAGCTGGCATGCTTGGCTGTGTGCAGTGGCCAGATCCCATGCTCGCTTGCTCACACACCCTTCACTGCTCTGTACCCAGCTCACCCTTGGCAGGTGTGGGATCCAGACCACTAGCATGAGCCGAGTGGACAGAACGAACCCAGTGGGCTCGAGCAAAACACAGGTAAATGTGCCACCAGACAGAGGTTTCAGGCAGAAAATTGATGCCTCAGGATTCTGTAACACTTGTGCCCTTTGACCTCTCAGAGCAGCTGGGGATCGTGGTAAATTCTCTCTCGGATTTCAGAGCTCCATGGATTTGTGTTTTGAGCTCTGAGTTTCTTTGAGCAAATTTCTGTTCCAAACTGCTATCCAGCCATGACTGGCTGGATGTTTTAGAAGTTATGACAGAAACGGGACCGGGTCCAGGATCAGATTTGATCCAGTAGTTAACTGGCTTGAATCCAGTTCCAGTTAGAGGCCTCCTACATCTGAATGGGTCAGAAGGAAAGTGGTAGCAAATGATAACATTGGAGGGTTGTAAAATTTGGCTTTTCAAAATTCACAGGGATTTTTGTGTTCTACCCCTTTGTTTCATTTTCCTCGCATACTTAGGTAGGAAAAAAAAATCATTGGCTAAGTCAATCAAGGGAACCTGGGAGTAAAGCCAATATATTAGGTAAAAATAGGATCCTTAATTTCTGGAAAACTAAGTTCCTTCTGGCTAATTCATTAGGCCTGGGAAGCAGCAAAGTCTTACAGAAATGGCAAAATCTTACTAAAGATAACTTACAGTGGAACATTCCAAATGAATAATGCCCTGAAGTGCATTTAAAAATGAGGGCTCCCCAATTAGTCTCACTTAGGGATGCCTATTAATATGCAGAAGCTTCTAAAAAGATTTAGAGATGGCACGGCCTATCTGGGAGCAAGTTTGAGTCTTACCAGTTTGACACTGTGTGCTATGCAAAGTGGCTCGTGTCTATGTTTTGTCACATGTATTTTGCTCTGAGCAGAATGAAAAATATTAATTTGGTTACTCCAAGCAACCCCTTGGGCAGCATCTTGCAAAGCTGAGTGGATTCTTCCTGTGGCACCATGATTTCCATTGTGATGCAGCTTGGCCCCCAGAGCTATAATGTGGTGAGGAGGGTGACAGAGCAAGACGCTATCTTTAAAAAAAACATGGCCAGGGGCAGTGGCTCACGCCTGTAATCCCAACACTTGGGGAGGCTGAGACAGGTGGATCACCTGAGGTCAGGAGTTCAGGGCCAGCCAGACCAACAAGGAAAAACCCTGTCTCTACTAAAAACACAAAATTAGCTGGGCATGGTGGGGCATGCCTCTAATCCCAGCTACTCAGGAGGCTGGGGCGGGAGAATCGCTTGAACCTGGGAGGCAGCGGATTGCAGTAAACCGAGATCGCACCATTGCACTCCAGCCTGGGCAACGAGAGGGAAAATCCATCTCAAAAAAAAAAAGAATAATAGATTTGCCTATAAGGTTTTATGAAAAAGTGGGTGACATTTGGCTTTCTCTCTTTAAAGAAGATTTTCAGAAAATATTAAAAAATAATGGGAGGAGGAGCCAAGATGGCCGAATAGGAACAGCTCTACTCTACAGCTCCCAGCATGAACGACGCAGAAGATGGGTGATTTCTGCATTCCAATTTGAGGTACTGGGTTCATCTCACTAGGGAGTGCCAGACAGTGGGTGCAGGACAGTGGGTGAAGTGCACTGTGCACTAGCCGAAGCAGGGCAAGGCATTGCCTCACTCGGGAAGCACAAGAGGTCAGGGAGTTAGTTCCCTTTCCTGGTCAAGGAAAGGGGTGAGAGATGGCACCTGGAAAATTGGGCCACTCCCACCCTAATACTGTGCTTTTCTGATGGGCTTAGGAAACGGCGCACCAGGAGATTACATCCTGCACCTGGCTCGGAGGGTCCTACGCCCATGGGATCTTGCTAATTGCTAACACAGCAGTCTGAGATCAAACTGCAAGGCAGCAGCGAGGCTGGGGGAAGGGCACCGGCCATTGCCCAGGCTCTCTTAGGTAAACAAAGCAGCCAGGAAGCTCAAACTGGGTGGAGCCCACCACAGCTCAAGGAGGCCTGCCTGCCTCTGCAGGCTTCACCTCTGGGGGCAGGGCACAGACAAACAAAAAGACAGCAGTAACCTCTGCAGACTTAAATGTCCCTGTCTGACAGCTTTGAGGAGAGCAGTGGATCTCTCAGCACGCAGCTGGAGATCTGAGAATGGGCAGACTGCCTCCTCAAGTGGGTCCCAGACCCCTGACCCCTGAGCAGCCTAACTGGGAGGAACCCCCCAGTAGGGGCAGACTGACACCTCACACGACCGGGTACTCCTCTGAGACAAAACTTCCAGAGGAACGATCAGACAGCAGCATTCGCAGATCACGAAAATCCATGGTTTTGCAGACACCACTGCTGATCCCCAGGCAAACAGAGTCTGGAATGGGTCTCTAGCAAACTCCAACAGACCTTAAGCTGAGGGTACTGTCTGTTAGAAGGAAAACTAACAAACAGAAAGGACATCCACACCAAAAACCCATCTGTACATCACCATCATCAAAGGCCAAAAGTAGATAAAACCACAAAGATGGGGCGAAAACAGAGCAGAAAAACTGGAAACTCTAAAAAGCAGAAAACCTCTCCTCCTCCAAAGGAATGCAGTTCCTCACCAGCAATGGAACAAAGCTGGACAGAGAATGACTTTAATGAGCTGAGAGAAGAAGGCTTCCGACGATCAAACTACTCCGAGCTACAGGGAAAAATTCAAACCAAAGGCAAAGAAGTTGAAAACTTTGAAAAAACTTTAGACGAATGTATAACTAGAATAACCAATATAGAGAAGTGCTTAAAGGAGCTGATGGAGCTGAAAGCCAAGGCTCGAGAACTACATGAAGAATGCAGAAGCCTCAGGAGCTGATGCGATCAACTGGAAGAAAGGGTATCAGTGATGGAAGATGAAATGAATGAAATGAAGTGAGAAGGGAAGTTTAGAGAAAAAAGAATAAAAAGAAATGAACAAAGCCTCCAAGAAATATGTGACTATGTGAAAAGACCAAATCTATGTCACATTCATGTACCTGAAAGTGACAGGGAGAATGGAACCAAGTTGGAAAACACTCTGCAGGATATTATCCAAGAGAACTTTCCCAATCTAGCAAAGCAGGGCAACATTCAGATTCAGGAAATACAGAGAATGCCACAAAGATACTCCTCGAGAACAGCAACTCCAAGACACATCATTGTCAGATTCACCAAAGTTGAAATGAAGGAAAAAATGTTAAGGGCAGCCAGAGAGAAAGTTCGGGTTACCCACAAAGGGAAGCCCATCAGACTAACTGCTGATCTCTCGGCAGAAACTCTACAAGCCAGAAGAGAGTGGGGGCCAATATTCAACATTTTTAAAGAAAAGAATTTTCAACCCAGAATTTCATATCCAGCCAAACTAAGCTTCATAAGTGAAGGAGAAATAAAATCCTTTACAGACAAGCAAATGCTGAGAGATTTTGTCATCACCAGGCCTGCCCTAAAAGAGCTCCTGAAGGAAGGACTAAACATGCAAAGGCACAATCGGTACAAACCACTGCAAAAACATGACAAATTGTAAAGACCATCAAGACTAGGAAGAAATTGCATCAACTAACGAGCAAAATAACCAGCTAACATCATAATGACAGGATCAAATTCACACATAACAATATTAACTTTAAATGTAAATGGACTAAATGCTCCAATTAAAAGACACACACTGGCTAATTGGATAAAGAGTCAAGACCCATCAGTGTGCTGTATTCAGGAAACCCATGTCACGTGCAGAGACACACATAGGCTCAAAATAAAAGGATGGAGAAAGACCTACCAAGCAAATGGAAAACAAAAAAAAGGCAGGGGTTGCAATCCTAGACTCTGATGAAACAGACTTTAAACCAACAAACATCAAAAGAGACAAAGAAGACCATTACATAATGGTAAAGGGATCAATTCAACAAGAAGAGCTAACTATCCTAAATATATATGCACCCAATACAGGAGCACCCAGATTCATAAAGCCAGTCCTGAGTGACCTACAAAGAGACTTAGACTCCCACACAATAATAATGGGAGACTTTAACACCCCACTGCCAACATTAGACAGATCAATGAGACAGAAAGTTCACAAGGATACCAAGGAATTGAACTCAGCTCTGCACCAAGCGGACCTAATAGACATCTACAGAACTCTCCACCCCAAATCAACAGAATATACCTTTTTTTCAGCACAACACCACACCTATTCCAAAATTGACCACATACTTGGAAGTAAAGGCCTCTTCAGCAAAAGTAAAAGAACAGAAATTATAACAAACTGTCTCTCAGACCACAGTGAAATCAAACTAGAACTCGGGATTAAGAAACTCACTCAAAACTGCTCAACTACATGGAAACTGAACAACCTGCTCCTGAATGACTACTGGGTACATAACGAAATGAAGGCAGAAATAAAGATGTTATTTGAAACCAACGAGAACAAAGACACAACATACCAGAATCTCTGGGACACATTCAAAGCAGTGTGTAGAGGGAAATTTATAGCACTAAATGCCCACAAGGGAAAGCAGGAAAGATCCAAAATTGACACCCTAACATCACAATTAAAACAACTAGAAAAGCAAGAGCAAACACGTTCAAAAGCTAACAGAGGCAAGAAATAACTAAAATCAGAGAAGAACTGAAGGAAATAGCAACAAAAAAACCCTTCAAAAAATTAATGAATCCAGGAGGTGGTTTTTTGAAATGATCAACAAAATTGATAGACTGCTAACAGGACTAATAAAGAAAAAAAGAGAGAAGAATCAAATAGACACAATAAAAAATGATAAAGGGGATATCACCACTGATCCCTCAGAAATACAAACTACCATCAGAGAATACTACAAACACCTCTACGCAAATAAACTAGAAAATCTAGAATAAATGGATAAATTCCTTGACACATACACTCTCCCAAGACTAAACCAGGAAGAAGTTGAATCTCTGAATAGACCAATAACAGGAGCTGAAATGGTGGCAATAATCAATAGCCTACCAACCAAAAAAACTCCTGGACCAGATGGATTCACAACCAAATTCTACCAGAGGTACAAGGAGGAACTGGTACTATTCCTTCTGAAACTATTCCAATCAATAGAAGAAGAAGGAATCCTCCCTAACTCATTTTATGAGGCCAGCATCATCCTGATACCAAAGCCGGGAAGAGACACAACCAAAAAAGAGAATTTTAGATGAATATCCTTCATGAACATTGATGCAAAAATCCTCAATAAAATACTGGCAAACCGAATCCAGCAGCACATCAAAAAGCTTATCCACCATGATCAAGTGGGTTTCATCCCTGGGATGCAAGGCTGGTTCAATATACACAAATCAATAAATGTAATCCAGCATATAAACAGAACCAAAGACAAAAACCATATGATTATCTCAATAGATGCAGAAAAGGCCTTTGACAAAATTCAACAACGCTTCATGCTAAAAACTCTCAATAAATTAAGTATTGATGGGACGTATCTCAAAATAATAAGAGCTATCTTTGACAAACCCACAGCCAATATCATACTGAATGGGCAGAAACTGGAAACATTCCCTTTGAAAACGGGCACAAGATAGGGATGCCATCTCTCACCACTCCTATTCAACATAGTGTTGGAAGTTCTGGCCAGGGCAATCAGGCAGGAGAAGGAAATAAAGGGTATTCAATTAGGAAAAGAGGAAGTCAGATTGTCCCTGTTTGCAGACGACATGATTGTATATCTAGAAAACCCCATTGTCTCAGCCCAAAATCTCCTTAAGCTAAGTAACCTCAGCAAAGTCTCAGGATGCAAAATCAATGTACAAAAATCACAAGCATTCTTATACACCAATAACAGACAAACAGAGAACCAAATCATGAGTGAACTCACATTCGCAATAGCTTCAAAGAGAATAAAATACTTAGGAATCCAATTTACAAGGGACGTGAAGGACCTCTTCAAGGAGAACTACAAACCACTGCTCAATGAAATAAAAGAGGATACAAACAAATGGAAGAACATTCCATGCTCATGGATAGGAAGAATCAATATCATGAAAATGGCCATACTGCCCAAGGTAATTTATAGATTCAATGCCATCCCCATCAAACTACCAATGACTTTCTTCACAGAATTGGAAAAAACTACTTTAAAGTTCATATGGAACCAAAAAAGAGCCTGCATCACCAAGTCAATCCTAAGCCAAAAGAACAAAGCTGGAGGCATCACGCTACCTGACTTCCAACTATATTACAAGGCTACAGTAACCAAAACAGCATGGTACTTGTACCAAAACAGAGATATAGACCAATGGAACAGAACAGAGCCCTCCGAAATAATGCCACATATCTACAACTATCTGATCTTTGACAAACCTGACAAAAAGAAGCAGTGGATTCCCTATTTAATAAATGGTGCTGGGAAAACTGGCTAGCCATATGTAGAAAGCTGAAACTGGATCCCTTCCTTACACCTTATACAAAAATTAATTCAAGATGGATTAAAGACTTAAATGTTAGACTTAAAACCATAAAAACCCTAGAAGAAAACCTAGGCATTACCATTCAGGACATAGGCATGGGCAAGGACTTCATGTCTAAAACACCAGAAGCAATGGCAACAAAAGCCAAAATTGACAAATGGGATCTAATTAAACTAAAGAGCTTCTGCATAGCAAAAGAAACTGTCATCAGAGTGAACAGGCAACCTACAAAATGGGAAAAAATTTTCGCAACCTACTCATCTGACAACGGGATAATATCCAGAATCTACAACGAACTTAAACAAATTTACAAGAAAAAAACAAACAACCCCATCAAAAAGTGGGCAATGGATATGAACAGACACTTCTCAAAAGAAGACATTTATGCAGCCAAAGGACACATGAAAAAATGCTCATCATCACTGGCCATCAGAGAAATGTACATCAAAACCACAATGAGATACCGTCTCACACCAGTTAGAATGGCAATCATTAAAAAGTCAGGAAACAACAGGTGCTGGAGAGGATGTGGAGAAATAGGAACACTGTTGGTGGGACTGTAAACTAGTTCAACGATAGTGGAAGTCAGTGTGGCGATTCCTCAAGTATCTGGAACTACAAATACCATTTGACCCAGCCATCCCATTAGTGGGTATATAACCAAAGGACTATAAATCATGCTGCTATAAACACACATGCACACGTATGTTTATTGTGGCACTATTCACAATAGCAAAGACTTGGAACCAACCCAAATGTCCAACAACGTTAGACTGGATTGAGAAATTGTGGCACATATACACCATGGAATACTATGCAGCCATAAAAAATGATGAGTTCATGTCCTTTGTAGGGACATGGATGAAATTGGAAATCATCATTCTCAGTAAACTATCACAAGGACAAAAAACCAAACACTGCATGTTCTCACTCATAGATGGGAATTGAACAATGAGAACACATGGACACAGGAAGGGTGACATCACACTCTGGGGACTGTTGTGAGGTGGGGGAAGGGGGGAGGGATACCATTAGAAGATGTAACTAATGCTAAATGACAAGTTAATGGGTGCAGCACACCAGACTGGCACATGTATACATATGTAACTAACCGGCACATTGTGCACATAAACCCTAAAGCTTAAAGTATAATAATAATAATAATAATAATAATAATAATAATAATAAAATAAAATAAAAAAATGAAAAATTTGTTTGCCTTGTAAATAAACTACCAAAAAAAAAAAAAAGGAAAAACAAGAGGCAGATCGTTTGTGAAGATAAGTCTTCCCCCTATCAATGAGTAAAGATTTTTGCCCTTTAAAAATTTTTTAAGTCATGATTTTAGGTAAATGAATGACTTATGGTGACGTGGAATTCTATTTCATAACATCAAGTGTTTAAACCTTTAATATATTTAATAGGCTTCCCAAAATCAAATTTCAACTTCAAAATTGTCTTTTCTGACCTCTAACTTTGGGACACTACAGAGGCCCCTGAAGCACCCAAAAGAGAGGTAAACAGGACTATTTAACATGTTAAGTCACATGGGTAGCACTGTCAAAATAAAAAATAATGTTGAACCTTCTTCAGGTTATATTTAGTGTATGTCATCAATCCATTCTAAAATTGTATAGGATTTCTAAAATTCTTGATTTTTTTTTTTTTTTTTTTTTTCTGAGATGGAGTCTTGCTCTGTCACCCAGGCTGGAGTACAGTGGTGCAATCTTGGCTCACTGCAACCTCCACCTCCCAGGTTCATGCCATTCTCCTGCCTCAGCCTCCCAAGTAGCTGGGACTACAGGCACCTACCACCATGCCAGGCTAATTTTTGTATTTTTAGTAAAGACGGATTTCACTGTGTTAGCCAGGATGATCTCCATCTCCTGACCTCGTGATCCTTCCACCTCGGCCTCCCATAGTGCTGGGATTACAGGCATGAGCCACCACATCCACCCTAATTATGGTTATTAAGTTATTGTAGACCACAAAAATAACCAAATTTCCTTGTCAATTTTCTTTAACTATAACTGTTTAAAGTCATTTCCACAGTTAATTGCTTAATGGTGATGCAGTTTCTAAAAACTTCACAAGCATGCAAAATTCTAGAATATGGTGTCTCTTAGAAGATTCATGAAAGAATGAAAAGGACCCTAAAAAACACTTGTGAACACAGATTTCTAATAACTTTAATATCATGGGTAAAAATTCCCCATAAGTTCCAAGATACCCCAAGAATTGGACTGGTTAAGAATTCTCAAATGTTAGGCTGGGTGCAGCAGCTCACGTCGGCAATCCCAGCACTTTGGGAGGCCAAGGCCAGTGGATCACTTGAGGTCAGGAGTTTGAGACCAGCCTGGCCAACGGTGAAAGCCCACCTCTACTAAAAATACAAAAATTAGCCAGGTGTGGTGGTATGTGCCTGTAATCCCAGCTACTCTGGAGGCTGAGGCAAGAGAATTGCTTGAACCCAGGAGGTGGAGGTTGCAGTGAGCCAAGATTGTGCCACTGCACTCCAACCTAGGTAACACAGTGAGACTCTGTCTCAAAAAAAAAAAAAAAAATCCCAAAAGTTTAATAAAAAGACCAACTGGTTTATAAAACTTCTAACCCAAGTAAAACAAAAATTGTATACCAAGGAAATATTTTGCCACATTTGCATGCTAAATCACCAATATTGAAATTGTTTAGATATATAATTTAAATAAACTCCATGGTCTAAGTCAAATTACCTATAACTACTCATCAGTTACCAGTGCCATGCACCTAATTTGGAGAAACAGCTGGTATTCAAGAGGATGTAAGTCTAATGTTAATTAAGCACAGACTTATGAAGAACCAGGATGGCCACCTTATCCTTCTTAAGTCCTTAAAACTTTTGTTATTAAAAGTTCTGCATTCCATAACTCATCATGGAAAGAGAAAATGATCCAAATTAAATATATTGGTGTGGTGATTTCTAAACTGCTAAAATAGTTTATAACCAATGTTTGGTTTGTCAAACCTATATTCCTAGGAAAACAATCAAAACTTCAGGTACATTTGGTTACCTGATGGGCCATTTAAACATTTTATAAAGGGATTTCATTCAGTTGTCATTTTCAGTGCATGCTTTCTGATTGTATAAAAGCTCTTCCATGCGAGAGAGTTGATGTTAAAACAGTACATTATTACCCTGAAGTGTATTTTCACCAGGTAAAGAAAGCCTTTTATGGTTCACTGGGGACAGTCAACCCCTTCACAATCTAGAATCTGATGACTGGATCTTCTGAGAACATCAGAGAAGGACTGCCCTTGCCATCCACATGACAGCAAAACTTTAAAAACTTAAACTTTGGGTTCATAGTTTCACAACTCAGAAGGGTCCCTCCACACTTGGAACCATATACCTATTGGAACCCTTAAGGTAAAGCTAACAAGGACAGTTCCCCCCAGAAGAAGATGGCATCCTTAATGTGAACAGCTTCTCCCAAGATCACAGATCAAGACTTCTCTACTATCATGAGACTCTTATCTTAAGTATCTGTGCAGCTGCTAACACTTACAGCATGTGGAGAAAACATGGGGTATTATAAAGATTTGGTTGTAGGGAATTAACAAAAAACCCACTTAGTTAAGCAAGTAAACTCTTTATCTAATTCATTCTTTAATCTATTTTATTTTAGGTGGTTTGATTTATGGGGACCCTGAGTAAGGAGCATATACCAAATTCTTGGTATTATCCCAGTAGTCATAAGAGTCTCCCTGGTGCACTGTACTTACTCAGATGTTTTAAGAGTTTGCATGCAGGCATCTCTAAAATGTCAAATGTTATCTCTTCAACTGGAATGACAAGAGATTTAAAAAAAATGTGCAACCATAAGGACACTGTAACCTATGAGTGACCTGCGAAACCAGAGACCCAAAACAATGGGAGTGATGTGCTTAAACTGGAACCCAAAACAATGGGAGTGACATGCTAAACCAGAAACCCAAAACAATGAGAGTGACTCGCTAAAACTGGAACCCAAAACAATGGGAGTGACGTGCTAAACCAAAAACCCCAAACAATGGGAGTGACGTGCTAAAACCAGAACCCAAAACATGGGAGTGATGTGCTAAAACCGGAACCCAAAACAATGGGAGTGACGTGCTAAACCAGAAACACAAAACAGTGGGAATGATGTGCTAAAACCGGAACCCAAAACAATGGTAACTAAGAGTGATGCTAAGGCCCTATATTTTGGTCACACTCTCAACTAAGTGAGAACTTGACTGAAAAGGAGGATTTTTTTTTTCTAAGACAGAGTCTTGGTGTGTCCCACAGAGTGGAGTGCAGTGTCACGATCTCAGCTCACTGTAAGCTCCGCCTCCCGGGTTCAGGCCATTCTCCTGCCTCAGCCTCCTGAGTAGCTGGGAATACAGGCACCCGCCACCACGCTTGGCTATTTTTTTGTATTTTTAGTAGAGACAGGGTTTCACCATATTAGCAAGGATGGTCTCAATCTCCTGACCTCGTGATCTGCCCACCTCAGCCTCCCAAAGTGCTAGGATTACAAGTGTGAGCCACCGCGCCCAGCCAAAAGGAGGAATTTTTTAAGCAAAACTATGGGAGGCCATTGTTTTGAACTAAGCTCATGCAATAGGTCCCAACAGACCAAACCAAACCAAAATGGAGTCACTCATGCTAAATGTAACATAATCAAACTAAGACTTTAAGGAAACATATAAATCCTAGAACAAACCAGGTTTTGTTTTTCTCCTATAAACAGGATGTTCCAGCATAAGAAGATACCTTCTACTCAAGTCCTTGTTCCACCTTTTCAAATCTCACTGGTCTATTTCCCAGTGGGTTTCTAAACCAAGTAAGTACATTTGCAATGGTAATAGTGACACCAGTGACTGAAGTTTTGGCCAATCTCTCAAAATTGAGAAAATAACCAAAGGGAAGGCATTGTTAAAGTGAACTAAGTATGGCCTGAGAAGGACTCCATAATTCTATATATGAGTCCTTGTGGATGAACTGCAACCTACCTTAATAGGTATACAAGAATGAAAAAATAACTTGAGAGTATGCACCTGGAACAACAGCTACATCTTGGCCAATCCCAATGGCCAAACTTCAACAACTCAGGCACTGCCAAATGTTCAAACTGTGTTCAAACAAGGCAAACGCTGAGTTGTTTCTGTACCTCACTTCCGATTTCGGTATGCCATTTCCCTTTTGTCTATAAATCTTCTTCCACCACATGACTGCGCTGGAGTCTCTGTGAATCTGCTGTGATTCTGGGGACTGTCCGATTTGTGAATCATTTATTGCTCAATTAAACTCCTTTAAAGTTTTTCTTTTAACAGAACTAACACAGAAGAATTTCCAGATCATGAACAGATGTTTTGTAATACCCAACGTTGTATTAACATGAATAGATTGTTCCTTAGATAGCTAACCTTGTTTTTAATATGAATAGACTCTCCCTTAGCTGAGAAAACCAGACAAATTCCATTTGGCTCCTTCATTTACAAAACATCAAGGGCTTCTTACCCACCCCCTTTCCTCAAGGACTTTAACTTGTGCAAGCTGATTTTCAACATATCAAAGAGTGCAATTAACTGATAAAGTGCTGAGACAAGAGATGTCCGCAGTTCCCAGCAAATTACTCAGAGATAGTATCATAAAGCCCCCACATTTGTCCGGCAGATAATGCCCAGAGCCCCCTCACCTATCACTTTTTGGTGAATTTAAAGCCCCTGCACCTGGAACAGTTTGTTTTCCTGTAACCATCTGTCTTTTTAACTTTTTTGTCTGTTTATTTCTTCTGTAAAGTTGCTGCAGCTAGAATCCCCCCTCCCCTCTCTAAACCAAAGTATAAAAGAAAATCTAGTCCCTTCTTTGGGGCCGAGAGAATTTCGTGCGTTAGCCGTCTCTCAGTCACCGGCTAATAAAGGACTCCTGAATTCGTCTCAAAGTGTGGCGTTTCTCTCTCACTCAGGTACGACAGTTTCAACTATGCTAGAAGACTCGAGTAAGGCAAATACAGTCCCCCTAAATTTGACTATTATTTAGGTTAATGGTGAGTTTAGAAGAAATAAGTTAAGACTACACAGAGTGGGCTAAAGTGCAAATAAACACTGGAAATATTTCCCGGAAAATATGACTTTGAACAGGCTGCTGCACACCCTGCATGTAGAGACAAACTAAGAAAAAGTGTGGAGAGTTATTTAAGGACCTATGGTTAACTCAGTCCTCAAGATGTTCCGGGTTTCATCCATGAATCAAGGAGGACCTCCCAAAAGCTGTTTGGGACCACACTCTTTGAGCAAGGAGCATATCTTACGATGGAAGCTGTGCTTTAGCGGCAGATGACCATTTCCGCTGCACAACACACTGTGCTTTAGCGGAAGATGACCGTTTCCACTGTACAACACTACAAGTGGTTACTGCCAGGCCGGTGTGAAATATGTTCCAGCACATAATATATGTCACCAATGAAGGTGGTGGTTCAGACTTGGTGCACGCAAGCTTTCCTGTCCCACAAGAACACAGCATGTTCTCTTCTCGGGTTCCACTCCAATCACGTAACAAATATGACTGCCTTTTTTGTCTCGGCATCAGAAAGATCAGAGGAAAATTTGCACCCAACTTAGACAACTCTAAGCTCTTATAACCTGCCTATATCTACAGGTCAGCTTTATCTTATTTATGTATATTTCCTTCAACCTGAGTTTTACTTATTTCTACTTTTCCTTTTTAATTCACAGACACCCAAAAACTCAGAAAATACAGTGTAAAACAAAGTGAAGAACAAATAAACAACTCACCAGAGATTTATTCGTTTCCTGTTGCTCTTGGAAACACCCAGAGGACACTGGAAACATAGCTGGGATAGAAGGCAAATGACGTGGATTAAGGAGAGAACTGGTGTGGTGTAGTCCCAGATTCTTCTGCCCAACACTCTAGACACATTACCTGGGAAAGCCCTCCTCCCTCCTGAAAAAGAAAAACTTCCCCATGGGAGAAGAGTCCTTCACGCCTCATTAGGGGCATCAAAGACTCAAGTTAAGATAAGATACATCTACAAGTACATTAATTGGTAGACATTAGATGCACAATTTATTTTTGAATAAAAATATGTATTACCTATTAATTTAGTAACAATATGATCTAAAGATATAATCTAATAATTTAATGCAAAGAAACATTATAAGTTCACTAAAATAAATGTTATAGAAATATACTAGGCTGTATTAACTATTTTCCTATTTATATGTAGATTCCACAAATAACTTCATATGAGTGTTCCCATGACAGTACATCTTGCTTTTCTCTACCTGAACATCATGGAAAGTGCATCTTGCAAACCAGCAATTTTGGCCTACAATTACATTTTTTAAAATGTACATAATATGTATTTCCTACAGTACACCATTGTACTCATGTTTCCCAATAACAGCTTTCCTTCTATGCAAGCCCTCATATTATGCTCTGATAATAAATTGGGCTTTTCCATCTGACTTGTCCAGTGAATGGACAATGGAAAATGTGATGCAAATATCCATTGGTTCTTGCCATTTTGGACACAGTCAAATTGTGAAGAGGTCTGGAGCAACCCTGTTGGAGACACAGGGCCTAGCCAAGAGTCACCACAAACCACCAGATTGTGAAGGAAACTATCTTAAACCAACCAGGCTCAGTCAAGGCACCAGGTGACTAAGGACTTTTTGTGATCCAGGCAACACAAATATATCAACTACCCAGCTGAACCCACCACACCAAAATGCAGATCCACAGAACTTCAAACAAATAAAATGGTGTTTGTTTTTTATAAGCCAGTAAGGTTTAATTAATTCCTTAAACAGCAAGTATTAACTGTTACACCTAAGTGAACAGAATTCACTTCTGTGTTTTTAACAAAATTACGTAGGGGGAGAAAATCTTAAATTACAAATCAAATACAATCAATAGAACTTCGCAATCTAATGCTAAATTTGGGGATGGACTAGGTTTAATATATCTCAGACGCTGGGAAAAACGAGCTAAGGTTGAAGGAATGGGACTGTGTTTGGAGAGTATTTTAATCTTCTCAAGTATGACAGGTCACTCCTGTACCCCAGACCACACTTTCAGGCCCCTTCAAATAAGGAATATTTCCTAGGTCCTTGCCTGTTCTTCTCAGCTGAATTCACCTCAACCTTCTGAAAGTTCGTCCAAACCTTCTACTATCACCTAGTCTTTGCAAATCTTGTGCATTCTAGGGAGTAGAATTAATATTTCCTGAGCGAGGAAAACTGGGATCCTCACCTGTGACCTGTTTTCCTCCTCTGAAGCACCAGTGAGAGGTTAGACCAGACAGCTGTTCTTTCAAGTGCGCTTCTTATTCATAGGGAACCCTCTCTTTCAAACTTTGTAACACACAGTTAAGACTGAAGTACCCTTAAGGCTGAAGACCATCATCCATTATGCCTTCTCCCTCGCGGAATCAGTGAGTTCTTCCTTGGAAACTAGGTCTCGTATAAACTTCTGTAAATGCAACCCAGGAGGACTAGGCAGATCACACAGTGAAGGAGGGAACCAGAAACTTCACTTGCTAAAGAGACACCAGGAAACCCAACTAATACAAACGCCAAGTTTAAGACTAGAGGCGCACGCATTTCGCACTACTCCTCTGGGAATGGGGAACGTCTCCCGAAAACTGTGTGTTAGCACTGGGACAGATGGGCAAACTGAGCGTCATGCAGGTTGGTAACCGGGTCCCTCAGCGGCAGGACAGGAGCGCGGCCTGCAGACTCCGGGCCCAGGGCCACCGGCCTCGCCTACCCGCTCCTGCGCCTCTAGAACCCGCTTCACTGCCGGGACCCCACGCCTGTCCTCCCAGCCCCCGCCAGGGTCCGCTGCCCGCACCTGCACTTCAGGCCCTGCCCGCCCGCGATGCGCCCACGCGTCTGCTCCCACAACTAGGGGACACTGGTCCGGCCCCCCGGGATCCCCCGAGGCCCACGGGTTCCTCTTCGCCCTCGCACCGACCCGCAGGGACATAGAACCAAGCCCCAAGCCGGCCCCGCTACAAGACCGCCTCTGGGTGACGCACTTCCGGATGAAAATGGCGGAGTGGGCCGGGCGGCGCATGCGCAGAGAGAAAAGCTGGTTCCCAAAGTCCTTGATGGTAACATCATTGGAAAGTGACACTACATTTCCCATGAGGCTCTGTGGTGCCCGGTTAGGAACCCACGCCGGACATTCTGTTTAGTCCAGCAGTTGAGTCCAGTTACCCAGAGACACGGACTTAATGAATCAGGACTGGTCCCTACCCAGGTGATACAGATATGGCATTCTGGTTCTTTATTAAATCCTGATTTCACAGCCTGGGACATTGTGAAAATAATGGAGAAATTTCAATAGAGGCCAATTGGTCTATGCTGTTAATGAGTAACTTTTTTTTTTTTTTTTTTTTTGAGACGGAGTCTCACTCTGTCGCCCAGGCTGGAGTGCAATGGTGCGATCTCGGCTCACTGCAACCTCCGCTTCCCGGGTTCAAGCGATTCTCCTGCCTCAGCCTCCTGAGTAGCTGGGATTACAGGCGCGCCACCACGCTTGACTAATTTTTGTATTTTTAGTAGAGACGGGTTTTCGCTATGTTGGTCAGGCTGGTCTCCAACTCCTGACCTCGTGATCCGCCCTCCTCGGCCTCCCAAAGTGCTGGAATTACAGGCGTGAGCCACTGCGCCCAGCCCTCAAGTCTATTTTTTATAGATGCATTCGAAAGTGTGAAAAAAATCATGTCTGTATTTTACTTTAAAATTTTAAAAACACAACTAATGAATATGGTAATTCTCTTCCAATCCGTTATCTTTTCTCTCACTTAACTAATTTGTGAGCCTTCAATTTACACATTTAGAAAATATTTTCTAGTGTTAACAGCGTCATAAGACAGGTGCACTCCATAATCTTTGTGACAACTTACACTTCCAGTGTCTGATAAATATTTGCCCGTAAACTCCCACGTTTCATCCATCCATCAATCAATCAAATCTCCCTATCTTTATTTATTTATTGTGAGAAAGACCTGAAATTTGTCTTTCCTTCCCTGATTTCTGCCACAAACTAGGCAAGGCATTCTGCCTAGGGTTTTCTCAGAACCCCGGCTACCACCGAGGTTCCTAACAGGGAAACGCAGGCTTGAATGCTCAGGGTTGATGTGAGAGTGAGTGTGAAACGGGGGTGGGGTGAAAGGGCAGTGAACTTTGTAGGTGGGTAGATGGGGGTGTGAAGGGCTTTCAGGTAAGAGGCACGCATGAAACTGGGAGAGACAGCGAAAGCACCTCAGGCCTCAGATCACCAGAAGATGCTCCCACCAGTGCCATGACAGTTTGCCAATGCCATGGCAGCACGGGAAGTCCCCAACCCTTGCCATGGAAACAGCTGGAAGTTACTGCCCATTTCTAGCTATTTCTGAATAACCCTCCCCTTAATTAGCATGCCATTAAAAGTGAAATATAAAAATGACTGCAAGCCACCCCTAGGCTGCTACTCTGGGAGCACAACCCACGGAGGGCTCCCTGTCCTGCAGGAGCAGAAGCAGGGCTGTAACACCGCCAGTGCCCCTGTAGAGCTGCTTTCTTCCACCACAGGCTTGCTTTTGGATTCCTTCCTGAGCGATGCCAAGAACCTGCCCTTCCTCAGTGTGACTCTTGCCTAAAACCTATCCCTGGTATTCTCTTTTCCTAAGCATGACCTGACTTGTTCTTTCCTCTCCTCTGATCTTGCAATTGGTCCTCAGTGACTCTATTCCGCAGATCCAGAAAACTCAACCTTAATCTTCCCAGAGCCCTGTTTTCTCCAATATTGGAAACTCTAGCCTTGTTTTCTCAGAAGCCTAGATTACAGGCCTCTCTCTTGAACACCTATTGGTAAGGTATCTGGGGATCCTTTGAATACACGATGACTGGCAGGGGTTACATAGGGGAAATCAGTGCCTGACAATTCGCCTTCCAGGATATGGATTGTCATTCTCTCTCTTTGTGGTCCTCAGTCTCTTATACATAAAAGTAGAGATTGTAATACTCATTTGACTTGCAGATACCTCACCCTGAACCCACCTAATATTATGTAAAAGCCAAGAATGCAACCCCTTTCTTCACCCCATGAAGGTAAAGTCCTCAGAGCCAAGGAGAGAAGGCTCAGGGATGGTACCTGGGTGTTTCCAACACTAACCATGTTTTTAGTGTTCAAGTTTAAGCTTCTTATGTTAAAGTTACCCCAGCTTTAATTCTATTGTAACAAGATTTATTTTTGTAATTCCATTTTTGGATTCTTGATTTCTTGGTAAAGAAATACAGTTATTTTTGTATACCAATCTTACATAGTGTTACATTCCTAAATTTGTTAATGAGTCCTACCACTTTTTAGTAAATTTCTTATGATTTTCTAAATGCAAGATCATGTCATCTGTACATAAAGATAACTGTACTTCTTCCTTTTTAATCTAGATGCCGTTTATTTATTTACATTGCCAAGTTGTCCCAGCTACCAGTTATCAAGTAAAAGGGTCTCACTGCCCAGAGCACTAGAAGCCGGTACCACGACACTGAGTTTTTGAGAAAAGAAAAACTTTAAAGTCAAACCAAACCCTATGGGATACAGGCCGGGCGAAGTGGCTCATACCTGTAATCCCAGCACTTTGGGAGGCCGAGTCGGGCGGATCACGAGGTCAGGAAATCGAGACCATCCTGGCTAACACGGTGAAACCCTGTCTCTACTAAAAATACAAAAAACAAAAATTAGCCTGGCATGGTGGTGGGCACCTGTAGTCCCAGCTACTCGGGAGGCTCAGGTGGGAGAATGACATGAACCCAGAAGGCAGAGCTTGTAGTAAGCCAAGATTGAGCCACTGCACTCCAGCCTGGGCAACAGAGAGAGATTCTGTCTCAAAAAAAAAAAAAAGACAAAAACAAAAAAACAAAATCAAACCATGGGATACAGCAAAAACAGTACTAATGAGTAAGTTTATAGCAAAAAGCATCTACATCAAAAAAAGTAGAAAAACTTCAAATAAACAACCTAATAATGCATCTTAAATAATTAGAAAAGCAAGAGCAAACCAAAACCAAAATTAGTAGAAGGAAACATAGCAAAGATCAGAGCAGAAATAAATGAAATTGAAATTGAAAAATATAAAATATCAATGAAATGAAAAGTTAATATTTTTTAAAAGATCAACAAAATCAACAAACATTTAGCCAGACTAAGAGAAAAGAGAGAAGACTCAAATACATAAAACCAGAGATTAAAAAGGAGACACTACAACTGATACTGCAGAAATTCAAAGAATCATTAGAAACTACTATGACCAACTATATTCCAGTAAATTGAAAAACCTGCAAGTAATGGCCAGGCACCGTGGCCCATGCCTGTAATCCCAACACTTTGAGAGGACAAGGCAGGTGATCATCTGAGGTCAGGAGTTCAAGACCAGCCTGGCCAACATGGTGAAACCCCATCTCTACTAAAAATACAAAAATTAGCCAGGCATGGTGGTGTGCACCTCTACTCCCAGCTACTCCTGAGGCTGAGGCAGGAGAATCACTTGAACATGGGAGGCAGAAGTTGCAGTGAGCTGAGATTGTATCAAGCTCCATCCTGGGTGACAGAGAAAGACTCCATCTCAAAAAAAAAAAACAAAACAAAACAAAAACAAAAACAAAAAAACCCACAAAAAACCAAAAACAACCAAAAAACAAACCTAGAAGAAATGGATAAATGAGATTGAACCCATAATAAAACAACTCCTAGCAAAGAAAAGCCTGGATCCAATGGCTTCACTGATTAATTTTACCAAACATCGAAGGAAGAATTACTATCAATCCTACCCAAACTATTCCAAAAAACAAAGAAGGCTGTAGTATTTCCATACTCTTTCTATGAAAAAGACCATTCATCATGTCTAAGTGGGATTTACCTCAAGAATGCCAACATGGTTCAACATATGCAAATCAATCAATGTGACACATCATATCAACAGAATGAAGGACAAAAACCATATGGTAATTTCAATTGATGCTGAAAAGCATTTAATAAAATCCAACATCCCTGTGATACAAATAAACCCTAAAAAAAGCTAGATTTAGAAGGAACATACCACAACACAATAAAAACCATATGCAACAGACCAACAGCCAGTATCATCCTGAACAGAGATAACCTGAAAGCCTTTCTTCTAAGATCTGGAACAAGGCAAGAATGTCCACTTCCAACACTGTTACTCAACATAGTACTGGAAGTCCTAGCTAAAGCAATACAGAAAAGTGAAAAACAATAAAGGGCATCCAAATTGAAAGAAGTAAAATTATTATTGTTTTCTTGTTTGCAGGTGATTTGATCTTATATTTGGAAGAACCTAAGGACTCCACCAAAAAGCTATTAGAACTGATTAACAAATTCAGAGTCACACGATACAAAATCAAAATACAAAACTCAGTAGCATTTCTAAATGCCAAAAATGAACAATCTAAAGCAGAAAATAAAGTACATACTCCCATTTACAATACCTACAAATAAAATAAAATATCTAGGAATAAATGTAACAAAAGAAGTGAAAGATCTCTACGATGAAAACTATAGAACACCAATGCAAAAAAATTAAAGAAGACACCAAAAAAATGGAAAGATAGTCCATGTTCATTGAATGGAAGAGTAAATATTGTTAAAATACACATACTTCACAAAGCAATCTACAGATTCAATGCAATCCCTATTGAAATACTAATAACATTCTTCACAGAAACAGAAAAAAAATCCTAAAATTTATATGAAATCATAAAAGACCCAGAATACCCAAAGCCATCCTTAGCAAAAAGAACAAAACTGGAAGAATCACATCACCTGACGTTAAATTATACTACAGGGCAATTGTAAACAAAGCAGCATGATACTGGCATAAAACAGACACATAGACCAATGGAACAGAATAGAGAAACCAGAAATAAATCCTTACATTTACAAATAACTCATTTTCAATGAAGATTCCAAGAATATACATGGGGGAGAGGACAGTCTCTTCAACAAATTGTGCTGGGAAAACTAGATATTCATTGGCAGAATAATTTTTTTTTTTGAGATGGAGTCTAGCTCTGTTGCTCAGGCTGCAGTGCAGTGGCACGATCTGGGCTCACTGCAAGCTCCACCTCCCTGGTTCACACCATTCTCCTCCTCAGCCTCCCAAGTAGCTGGGAGTACAGGTGCCCCCACCACACCCAGCTAATTTTTTTTTTGTATTTTTAGTAGAGACGGAGTTTCACTGTGTTAGCCAGGATGGTCTCGATATCCTGCCCTCATGATCTGCCCACCTCAGCCTCCCAAAGTCATTGGCAGAATAATTAAACTAGAACCCTCTCTTGCGCTATATACAAAAATCAAATCCAAATGGGTTAAAGACTTAAATCAAGGACAAGAAACTAGTGAAAGAAAACATTAGGGAAACTCTCCAGAAAATTGGTCTGGGCAAAGATTTCTTGAGTAATACCCCAAAAGCCCAGTCAACCAAAGCAGAAATGAACAAATGGTATCACATGAAGTTCAAAAGTTTCTGCATAGTAAAGAAAACAATGGACAAAGTGAAAAGACAATCCACAGAATGGAAGAAAATATTTGCAAACTATATATCTGACAAGGGATTAATAACCAGAATATATAAGGAGTTCAAACAACTCTATAAGAAAAAAAAACTAATAATCCAATTATTTAAATGGGCAAAAAATCTGAACAGACATTTCTCAAAAGAAGGCACACAGGTCAGGCGCGGTGGCTCTCACCTGTAATTCCAGCATTTTGGGGAGCCAAGACAGGTGGACCACTTGAGCCCAGGAGTTCAAGACCAACCTGAAAAACATAGCAAATAATTTTAAAAACTATCTGGGCATGGTGATGCATGCCTGTGGTCCCAGCTACTCAGGAGGCTGAGGTGGGAGGATTGCTTGAACCCTGGTAGTCAAAACTACAGTAAGCCATCATCATACCACTGCACTCCAGCCTGGGTGACAGAGTGAGACCCTGTCTCAAAAAATGAGCAAAAACAAAAAAGAAGATATATAAATGTCAAATAGGTATATGAAACGGTGCTCAATATAATTGATCATCAGAGCATTTCAAATCAAAACTACAATAAGATATCATCTTACCCCCATTAAAATGGCTTTTATGCAAAAGAGAGGCAATAACAAATGCTTGCAAGAATGTGGGGAAAAGTGAACCCTCTTACTCTGTTGGTGGGAATGTAAATTAGTACATTCACTATGGAGAACAATATGGAGGTCCCTCAAAAAATTAAAAATAGAACTATCATATGATACAGCAATCCTGCAATGCAGCAACCCAGCAATGCTGGGTATATACCCAAGGGAGGGAAAATTAGTATATCAAAGAGTTATCTGCATTCCCATATTTATTTCAGCACTATTCATAATAGCCAAGATTTGGAAGCAACCTAAGTGTGCATCAACAGATGAAGGGATAAAGAAAATGTAGTACATGTACACAATGGAGTACTCTTCGGCCATGAAAAAGAATAAGATTCTGTCATCTGCAACAACGTGGATGGAACTAGGGGACATTATGTTAAGTACAATGAGCCAGGCACAGAAAGACTTTGCATGTTCTCACACATTTGTGGGAGCTAAAAATTAAAACAATTGAACTCATCAAGATAGAGAGTAGACTGAGAGTTTCCAGAGGTTGGGAAGAGTAGCGGTGTTACGGGATCTTTGGAGTGTCACTTTTCTGGACAGAAAACTCTATGGCTGGTGGCACCTTTACCTGAGTTTTGCTTGGGCCCCGCCCACTCAGCCTGGCAGGCTGTGCTCAGCTCATGCTACCAGGTTGGATCCCATGTTTGCCAAGGGAGACTGCGCGGAGTGGCAAGGGGTGTGTGAGCAAGCATGGGGTCTGGCCACTGTGCAGTCAGACTTCCTGGCTGCTGCAGTGGAGCAGGTAACTCCAGGTGCCAACATGGGTACCAGCTCTCCACAAGTCTGTGGCTGGACCACGGGCACCGCAAGCAGCTTCCACAGCTGGCACACTGGGAACACAGTGGCACCCAGAAGCTTGGAGATACCAGGAACCACAGGGCCCCAAAGAGGGAATCACAGCCCTGGCTCGGGGAGCTCCCAGGTCTGGGCTTCCCAAAGGGTCACAGCTCTTCTTTCCTTCTCTTTGCCCACAATGTGGCTAGCAAGGGGCATGTCTCAGCCCTGTTTGTGTTACAGCTCTTTCAGCCTCTTCCCTAGGATTTGTCATAATTAATTCTCATATTGTCTTATTTTTTTACATGTGTTTCAACTTCAGAAGATGCATGGATCTAAACACAACATGATGTGTTAGCTAGCTGCCATATGAATTTCTCCCTGTTTCACCACTATGTAGCCTAAAGTTATTCCATCATCCATGACTATCCTGGCTAAAGAGTCTAAAGATCTTTGTTTGGTAGCTATGGCTTCAGCTGGTTCATTTGCTAAGTTACCTAGAGTGGTTGGTTGACAGATTTCTAATTATACGTTCATGAGAGGTTACTCCCCACCATTGCAAGTGACTTCTGCCAAACATAGGCCAAAATTCATCTCCTTGGTGTGCAGGTAAGGTTTGTCTAATCCTGGAAAGTAATTTCGATGAATTACTTCAGTGTTCAGAAACATTGGAGTTATAAATAGAAAGAGGAAGAGTCACATAACCTAATAGACAATTACTTCTCATATGCCAGCAGTCAACACATTCATAAGCCCATGGGTGGTTGATCCAGGGACCACACAGTGTCCCTGACAGATTCTGAAAGTTAAGGCTTTGGTTTACTGGTAACAGAGACAGGTTAAAGTACATGTCTTCAGTCTTGAGTAGAGTGTAATCAGTCTCATTTTTTTTTTAATGAGACAAACATCAAGTAAAGACCTTGACAAGAAGGAAGAGAAATCCCGAGATTCTATAATCATAATAATCGAATTGTAATTGCTAGTTTAAGTAGTCCTTCAAAAAATACATCTCATTCCTGACAGGATAAAAGAAGTTTTTAAAAATATATTATATTCAGATTCACTAGGGAACACTTGGATCCAGGAAATAATTCAGGATTCAGCCCAAATTATAGGCAAATAATAAAAACTCTAAAACAATGATCAGGGTTGGAATCTAATAGCATATGTCATAGTTTTCTTTTGGAACAAAAATTTTCTCTAGTCCATCATTTTATCAAAGACAAATCATAGTAGGACCAATTTTGTATGCAAAATAAGTTTTAGTCTTATCATACCTGGCCTGATTATTTCCATAAAGTGCAGCAAGAATATTTATTGGCCATACAGGCTTCTTAAAATTGGCTTTGTTGGAAATTTGAAATAAGGAATCTTAGACTTTTAAGAGCCTTGACGCTAGCCAAGTCAAAGATTTGCATCAGACTGTGTCTGTAATACTTTTTTAACCTACTTTTTAAAATTATACTTTAAGTTCTGGGGTACATGTGCCGAAAGTGCAGGTTTGTTACATAGGTATATATATTCTGTGGTGGTTTGCTGCACTCATCAACCCATTACCTATATTAGACATTTCTCCTAATGCTATTCCTCCCCCTTCCCCCACCCCCCAACAGGCCCCAGTGTGTGATGTTCCCCTCCCTGTGACCATGTGTTCTCATTGTTCAACTCCCACTTATGAGTGAGAACATGTGGTGTTTGGTTTTCTGTTCTTGTGTTAGTTTGCCGAGAATGATGGTTTCCAGCTTCTTCCATGTCCCTGCAAAGGACATGAACTCATCCTTTTTTATGGCTGCATAGTATTCCATGGTGTATATGTGCCACATTTTCTTTATTCAGTCTATCATTGATGGGCATTTGGGTTGGTTCCAAGTCTTTGTTATTGTGAACAGTCCTGCAATAAACATACATGTGCATGTGTCTTTATAGTAGAATGATTTATAATCCTTTGGGTATATATCCAGTAATGGGATTGCTGGGCCAAATGGTATTTCTAGTTCTAGATCCTTGAGGAATAGCCACACTGTCTTCCACAATGGTTGAACTAATTTACACTCCCACCAACAGTGTAAAAGCCTTCCTATTTCTCCACACCCTCTTCAGTACCTGTTGTTTCCTGACTCTTTAATGATCGCCACTCTAACTGGCATGAGATGGTATCTCATTGTGGTTTTGATTTGCATTTCTCTAATGACTAGTGATGTTGAGCTTTTTTTTTCATAAGTTTGTTGGTTGCATAATTGTCCTCTTTTGAGAAGTGTCTGTTCACATCCTTCGCCCACTTTTCAATGGGGTTGTTTTATCTTGTAAATTTGTTTAAGTTCTTTGTAGATTCTGGATATTAGCCCTTTGTCAGATGGATAGATTGCAAAAATTTTCTCCCATTTTGTAGGTTGCCCATTCATTCTGATAGTTTCTTTTTCTGTCCAGAAGCTCTTTAGTTTAATTAGGTCCCATTTGTCAATTTTGGCTTTTGTTGCCTTTGTTTTTGGTGTTTTAGTCAGGAAGTCTTTGCCCATGCTTATGTCCTGAATGGTATTGCCTAGGTTTTCCTCTACGGTTTTTATGGCTTTAGGTCTTATGTTTAAGTCTTTAACCCATCTTGAGTTAATTTTTGTATAAGGTGTAAGGAAAGGATCCAGTTTCAGCTTTCTGCCTATGGCTAGCCAGTTTTCCCAACACCATTTATTAAATAGGGAATCCTTTCCCCAGTGATTGTTTTTCTGAGGTTTGTCAAAGATCAGATGGCTGTAGATGTGTGGTGTTAATTCTGAGGCCTCTGTTCTGTTCCTTTGATCTATATATTTGTTTTGGTAACAGCACCATGCTGTTTTGGTTACTGTAGCTTGTAGTATATTTTGAAGTCAGGTACCATGATGCTTCCAGCTTTGTTCTTTTTGGTTAGGATTATCTTGGCTATTCGGGCTCTTTTTTGATTCCATATGAAATTTAAAGTATATTTTTCCAATTCCGTGGAGAAAGTCAATGGTAGTTTAATGGGGATAGCAGTGAATCTATAAATTACTTTGGGCAGTATGGCCACTTTCATGATACTGATTCTTCCTATCTATGAACATGGAATGATTTTCCATTTGTTTGTGTCCTCTCTTATTTCCTTGAGGAGTGGTTTGTAGTTCTCCTTGAAGAGGTCCTTCACATCCTTGTCAGTTGCATTCCTAGGTATTTCATTCTTTTTATAGCAATGGTGAATGGGAGTTCACTCACAGTTTGGCTCTCTGTTTGTCTGTTATTGCTGTATAGGAATGCTTGTGATTTTTGCACATTGATTTTGTATCCTGAAACTTTGCTGAAGTTGCTTATCAGCTTAAGGAGATTTTGGGTGGAGATGATGGGGTTTTCTAAATATACAATCATGTCATCTGCAAACAGAGACCATTTGACTTCCTCTTTTCCTAATTGAATACCCTTTATTTCTTTCTCTTGCCTGATTGCCCTGGCCAGAACTTCCAATACTATGTTGAATAGGAGTAGTGAGAGAGGGCATCCTTGTCTTGTGCTGATTTTCAAAGGGAATGCTTCCAGTTTTTGCACATTCAGTATGTTATTGGCTGTGGGCTTGTCATAAATAGCACTTACTATTTTGAGATATGTTCCATCAATACCAGTTTATTGAGAGTTTTTAGCATGAAGGGCTGTTGAAATTTGTCAAAGGCCCTTTCTGCATCTATTGAGATAATCATGCAGTTTTTGTCATTTGTTCCCTTTATGTGATGGATTACATTTATTGATTTGCATATGTTGAACCATCCTTGCATCCCAGGGGTGAAGCTGACTTGATCATGGTGGACAAGCTTTTTGATGTGCTGCTGGATTCAGTTTTCCAGTATTTTATCCAGGATTTCTGCATCGATGCTCATCAGGGATATTGGCCTAAAATTTTCTTTTTTTTGTTGTGTCCCTGTGAGGTTTTGGTATCAAGGTGATGCTGACCTCATAAAGTGAGTTAGGGAGGATTCTCTCTTTTTCTATTGTTTGGAATAGTTTCAGAAGGAATGGTACCAGCTCCTCTTTGTACCTCTCATAGAATTCGGCTGTGAATCCGTCTGGTCCTGGAATTTTTTTGGTTGGTAGGCTATAATTAATGCCTCATTTTCAGAACTTGTTATCGGTCTATTCAGGAATTTCACTTCTTCCTTGTTTAGTCTTTGTAGTATTCTCTGATGATAATTTGTATTTCTGTGGGATCAGTGGTGATATCCCCTTAATCATGTTTTATTGCATCTATTTGATTCTTCTCTCTTTTCTTCTTTATTAGTCTGGCTAGTGGTCTGTTTTGTTGATGTTTTCAAAAAACCAGCTCCTGGATTCATTGATTTTTTGAAGGGTTTTTCATGTCTCTATCTCCTTCAATTCTGCTCTGATCTTATTTGTGTCTTGTCTCCTGTTAGCTTTTGAATTTGTTTGTTCTTGCTTCTCTAGTTCTTTTAATTTTGATGTTAAGGTGTCAATTTTAGATCTTTCCTGCTTTCTCTTGTGGACATTTAGTGCTATAAATTTTCCCTCTACACACTGCTTTAAATGTGTCCCAGAGATTCTGGGACGTTGTGTCTTTGTTTTCATTGGTTTTGAAGAACATCTTTATTTCTGCCTTCATTTAGTTATTTACCCAGTAGTCATTCAGGAGCAGGTCACCCAGTTTCCATGTAGTTGTGAGGTTTTGAGTGAGTTTCTAAATCCTGCATACTAATTTGAATGCATTGTGGTCTGAGAGACTGTTTGTTATGATTTCAATTCTTTTGCATTTCCTGAGGAGAGTTTTACTTCCAATTATGTGGTCAATTTTAGAATAAGTGCAATGTGGTGCTGAGAAGAAGGTATATTCTGTTGATTTGCGGTGGAGAGTTCTGTAGAGATCTTTTAGGTCCACTTGGTCCAGAACTGAGTTCAAGTCCTGGATATTATTGTTAATTTTCTGTCTCATTGATCTAATATTGAGAGTGGAGTGTTAAAGTCTCCCACTATTATTGTGTGGGAGTCTAAGTCTCTTTGTAGGTCTTTAAGAACTTGCTTTATGAATGTGAGTGCTCCTGTATTGGGTGCATATATGTCTAGGATAGTTAGCTCTTCTTGTTGCATTGATCCCTTTACCATTATGTAACGCCTTCTTTGTCTCTTTTGATCTTTGTTGGCTTAAGATCTGTTTTATCAGAAGCTAGGATTGCAACCCCTGCCTTTTGTTGCTTTCCACTTGCTTGGTAAATGTTCCTCCATCCCTTTATTTTGAGCCTATGTGTATGAGATGGGTCTCCTGAGTACAGCACATTGATGGGTCTTGACTCTTTATCCAATTTGCCAGTCTGTGTCTTTCAATTGGGGGCATTTAGCTCATTTACATTTAAGGTTAATATTGTTATGTATGAATTTGATCCTGTCATTATGATACTAGCTGGTTATTTTGCTCATTAGTTGATGCAATTTTTTCATAGTGTCAATGGTCTTTATAATTTGGTATGTTTTTGCAGTGGCTGTTACCAGTTGTTCCTTTCCGTGTTTAGTGCTTCCTTCAGAAGCTCTTGTAAGGCAGGCCTGGTGGTGACAATATCTCTCAGCATTTGCTTGTAAAAGATTTTATTTCTCCTTCAATTATGAAGCTTAGTTTGGCTCGATATGAAATTCTGGCTTGAAAATTCTTTTCTTTAGGAATGTTGTATATTGGCCCCCACTGTCTTCTGGCTTGTAGGCTTTCTGCCAAGAGATCCACTGTTAGTCTGATAGGCTTCCCTTTGTGGGTAACTCAACCTTTCTCTCTGGCTGCCCTTAATATTTTTTCCTTCATTTCAACCTTGGTGAATCTGATGATTTTGTGTCTTGGGGTTGCTCTTCTTCAGGAGTATCTTAGTGGTGTTCTCTGTATTTCCTGAATTTGAATGTTGGCCTGTCTTGCTAGGTTGGGGAAGTTCTCCTGGATAATATAGTTGAGAGTGTTTTCCAACTTGGTTCCATTCTCTCTGTCACTTTCAAGTACACGAATCAAACATAGATTCAGTCTTTTAACATAGTCCTCTATTTCTTGGAGGCTTTGTTCATTTCTTTCACTCTTTTTTCTCTAATCTTGTCTTCTTGCTTTATTTCATTGAGTTGATCTTCAATCTCTGATATCCTTTCTCCTGCTTGATTGATTCAGCTATTGATACTTGTGTATGCTTCATTAAGTTCCTTTGCTCGGTTTTTCAGCTCCATCAGGTCATTTATATTCTTCTCTAAACCGGTTATTCTAGTTTACAATTCGTTCTACCTTTTTTTTTCAGGCTCTTAGCTTCCTTGCATTGGGTTAGAACATGCTCCTTTAGCTCGGAGGAGTTTGTTATTACCCGCCTTCTGAAGCCTACTTCTGTCAATTCATCAAACTCATTGTCTGTCCAGTTTTGTTCTCTTGCTGGTGGGGAGTTGTGATCTTCTGGAGGAGAAGAGGCATTCTGGCTTTTGGAGTTTTCAGCCTTTTTGCACTGGTTTCTCCCCATCTTTGTGGATTTATTTATCTTTGTTCTTTGATGTTGGTGATGTTGAGACTATTCCTTTCTGTTTGTTAGTTTTCCTTCTAACAGTCAGGTCCCTCTGCTGCAGGTTTGCTTGAGATGCTGGAGGTCCACTCCAGACCCTGTTTGCATGGGTATCACCAGTGGAGGCTGTTGGAAATGCATGAACCACCTGCCTTCTGTGTTGATCTCATTGGGTGCTGCAGGCCGGAACTGTTCCTTTTCAGACATCTTGCCAGCCCTCCTGTAATACTTTTATGAATTGGTGTAGTCCTCTCTTCTCAAGCTCCCCAAATAACTTAAGGTTCCTGGGCCCGTCAGAAATTGACATTCTTTACTTCTTTCCACAAGGACAGCAACTTTCTAAATGACCCTTGTAGACAGGACACCAAGCCAGTCATTCTAAGGGGCTTTGTATTGGTGCTATAGAGTCAACCTCAATTCCTTAAAGTGGTCTGGTTGTATCTGCCGTTCGAGTTAAAGCCTTGATAAAACAAACAGTGTCTCCAATTGAATCCTGTTACCAAAAACAGATTCTTATTGAAATTATGCAAATAATTATATTGCCATAATTTAGGAATGCTCACGAATGGCTTCTGAATTCTGGAGAAATCAGTTAGAGAGACAGATAAATGGCTCAAATTTTTGTTCACAATGTAGTTTATCTAATGTATGGTAAGTTAAAAATAGCTGAAAAGAAAAAAATTCTTGACTTTGGAAAACAAAACGTAAAGAGAATCAACAATGTTTCCTATGGAAGAGCCATGAATAAAATCTTTTCCTTCTTTTATAAGTTCAGTCCCATGTAACTAAATCTTGTTCTGCTTGATTTCAAATAGCAATTCTCATTCAGTTTTTTGTGTTTTGCTTGATTTCAATTGGAAATTCTCATTCAGCTTTTTAGAGTCCTGGAAGATTTTCCTAGTCCAACAGAATGATCCCCAAAGTTATCTGAGACCATATTTAAGAGAACTTGTCAGAGTCCTTTCCATTAAAAGTAATTTAGATGATAGCTGATTGTAAAGGCTTTTTTTTTTTTTTGAGACATTGTCTGGCTCTGTCACTCAGGATAGAGTGCAGTGGCATGATCTTGGCTCACCGCAATCTCTCCCTGGTAAACTCAAGCCATCCTCCTACCTCAGCCTCCAAAGTAGCTGGGACCATAGGCATGCATCATCATGCTGGCTAATTTTTGTATTTTTGTAGAGACAGGGTTTTACCATGTTGCCCAGGATGCTTTCAACTTCTGAGTTCAAGCAATTCACCCACCTCGGCCTTGCAAAGTGCTGGGATTTTTACACGCATGAGCCACCATGCCCTGCACCATGCCCAGCACCGTGCCCTGCACAGCCTCCAGCAGCATGCCTGGCCTGTAAAGGGTTTTAGAGAAGAACTTTAAACAATCACCGTGGATGAAAAAAACTTAGAATATCCTTTGGTTAAAATCCAATGGAAGTTCTCAACTGGAGAGAAAATTTAGTTATTTCTATTATATGTAGCATTTTAAGATAAAAGCCAGAATCATGACTGACGGCAACACATCAGATCCATCAGACTTCCACAAATTTTATATAATCTTTAGAATATTTATATTAATAATATATCTATACATATACAACTTTAGAGAATATTTAACATCATCAAAATTATGACTGATACCATATTAGATTTTTATAATTTATATAACATTTAAAATATTTATATTAATAATATACCTGTAAATGTAACCAAAAGAAGATTTAGACCAGGCACAGTGGCTCATGCCTGTAATTCCAACACTTTGGGAGGCCAAGTTGGACAGATCATCAGAGGTCAGGACTTCGACACCAGCCTCGCCAACATGGAGAAATCTTGTCTCTACTAAAAATACAAAATTAGCCGGGCATGGTGGCATGTGTCTGTAGTCCCAGCTACTTGGGAGGTTGAGGCAGGAGAATCGCTTGAACCTTGGGGCAGAGGTTGCAGTGAACCTAGATCACGCCACTGCACTCCAGCCTGGGTGACAAAGCAAGATTCTGTCTTAGAGAAAAAAAAAAGAAGATTTAGACTTATCTTTTGGCAATGCTTCCCATACAAAGTTATCAACTAAATTTTAGCAAAGATGTAAAAAAATTGAAAACATTTGACCAAAACAGAATGACAGTTTATTGTTTTTTATTTTATTATATATTTGAGACAGGGTCTCACCCTATTGCCCAGGCTGGAGTGCAGTGGTGAAATCATGGCTCAATGCAGCCTCAACCTCCCAGGCTCAGGTGATCCTCCACCTTAGTCTCCCAAGTAGCCAGGACTATGAGCACTTGCTACCACACCTAGCTAGCTTTTGTATTTTTAGTAGAGATGGGGTTTTGCCATTTTGCCCAGGCTGGACTTGAACTCCTGGGCTCAAGTGATCCACCCACCTTGGCCTCCCAAAGGGCTGGAATTACAGACAAGAGCCGCTGCACACAGCCACATGTCATTTTTAAATAACAGTCATTCATTTAATTAGCATGACAACCAAAAGACATCAAAAGCAACATAGAAGGTTACATGGATGTGAAAACTGAAAACCCTCAGTTTTCCCAAGTAATTAAAAAAAAATAAAGGCAACACATGGATTATCTTGATAAAACCTAAAATCTTTATTACAGGCCAGTCATTTAAAGGGTAAAACTCCTGTGGCATAACTGTGTCTTCTTACGGGAAGCTAATTTAAATCACTTGGAAGTCAATTCCGATGATAAGGAGACTTGAATTTAGACATAGAAAGAGTGTGTCCAGGGTCATGAGTGAGCATAATATTACAAAGGAATGTAAACAGGAAAACCAGAGCATAGAGCAGTGGGGATCCATAGCTCACAATGATAGCATGGAAGTTTCCTGGTTACATGAAGTAATTAAGACATATTTAAAAGCCAAGAGTACAAAATTAGACCTGATGAAAAATCTGAAGGAGTTATCATCGCAGCCAAGCAGGAAACCCAAACCTTTTATTCCTTCTCAAGAAGGAACAGGAGACAATGATGTGATCTGTGAGTCATGTGTAACATGAAAGTACAGGAAAAGTTGAACTTCTGATATACAAATCTGAAAAGTTTTTATAGTAACAGATTTCAGGATTAAAAGTCAATATTTATTACCTCTTATTATGAGCAAATAAATACCTTAAGAAAACCTTGTTGTTTTAACCAAAATTTTTAGTTTTTTATCACTATGTTTTTAATATTACAGCTAATTTAAATAAACTTTATAAACTATCTGATCTCAATCAGTTTTGACCTCGATGTAAGATTTACATAAACTTTTAATAACCTTGTATAATTTTTTCATCTTTCCCAACTTTTTATACACATTTAGTTTTATCTATCTTTTTTATTCCTTCAATTTAAAAAAATCCTTAAAAATCTCTAAGCGAATTTACTTTTTCTGAAACAAAAACCGGTATACATTTTGCATATAGAATTGTTTCTCTTGTATCTAGTAGTCTTAATCACATATATCTAGCAAGATATTAACACTTAGTAACCCTTATTTTAAGAAAAAACCTAGGAAGCAAGAAATCTTGAATTGTCATATAGCAGTATCTTACATATGAGAATAATTTCATAATTTAGAATTATGTGTTCCTAAAACATATTTTTTAAGATGGATTTTCGCTCTTGTTGCCCAGGCTGGAGTGCAATGGTGTTATCTCAGCTCACTGCAACCTCCGTCCCCCAGGTTCAAGCAATTCTCCTGCCTCAGCCTCCCAAGTAGCTGGGATTACAGGAACCCACCACCACACCTGGCTAATTTTTTGTATTTTTTAGTAGAGATGGGGTTTCACTATGTTGATCAGGCTGGTCTTGAGCTCCTGACCTCGGGTGAGCCACCAACCTTGGCCTCCCAAAGTGCAGGGATTACAGGCGTGAGCCACAGTGCCTGGGCTAAAACATAAGTTTTAAATTGGAAATAACCCAGATATTTAATGAGTATCTATTATTTAATTTAACATAACTAAAATTTCAAAAATAGGCTGGGCATGGTGGCTCACACCTGTAATCCCAACACTTTAGGAGGCCAAGGCAGGAGTATCATGAGACCAGCCTGAGCAAAATAGTGAGATGCTGACTCTACAAAAAAAATAAAAGTTAGCTGACCATGGTGGTGCATGCCTGTAATTAACAGCTACTTGGGAGGCTGAGGTGGGAGGATCCCTTGAGCACAGGAGGTCAAGGTTGCAGTGAGCTGTGATCATGCCACTGCACTTCAGCCTGGGTGACAGACAGAGACACTGTCTCAAAAAAATTTCAAAAATACATTAAGATGTCTTGTATAGACATTTATCCATTTACATTTACTTATTTTTGACAGTTTATCTAGAGTATTTGTGAGAACTGAGGTATTAGACAAAGCTAGTCATCATTTCTAGGTTTTTTTCTTGTTAACCATGTTATAGCCTGTGAATATCAGGTGTTCACGTAAGTGAGGACTTCAAAGTTAAATACATGTGTATTTTACCAATAACTCAGAAAATTCCATTATTTTTGTTCAACAAACCGTATTAAATTGGTCTTATGTATTTAAAAAATCACATAAACAAATATTCTTTTTTTCTGTGTTTATAGTTTTATAACCTTCATGCCAAACCCTAGCACCTTAAAATATCTAGCAAATGTAAATATAAAACACAGTCAAAAATGTATGCCGACAATTCTGAAGACATTTCTATTTTTATTTTATCAATACTTTTTAAATTATTTGTATTTATAAAAGAACTCTCTTTTATCTGGGCACAATGGTTCATACCTGTATCCCAGCACTTTGAGAGGCTGAGGCAAGAGGATCACTTGAGCTCAGGAGTTTGAGACCAGCCTGGGCAACATAGTGAGACCTAATCTCTACTAAGAATCAGATAAAAAATTGCCAGGCATGGTAGTGCATGCCTATTGTACCAACTACTAGAGAGGATGAGGCAGGAGGATTGCTTGAGCCTGGGAGGTTGAGATAACAGTGAGCTATGATCCCACTACTGCACTCCAGTCTGGGGAACAGAGTGAGACCTTAGAGTGAGACCTTATCTCAAAAAGAGAAAAAAAAATAAAGAATTGTTTCATTCTTTTGTTTTTCTTCAGCCAAATAACCTTGAATTGGTAACACCACAGACAGTAAGTCTTATCTCAACACCAGTAGACAAATCAGCAGATTCAAAGTAGGCAGGGAAAAAAAATAGATAGGCAAAAGAACTGAGAATTTTTCATTTTAGGGTTTTTAAAAATAGTAACTATTTGAGTTCTGAATTTTCTTTCATGTAATTTGGCCATCAGGTTTAAAGTGTGCGTGTAATCCCAACACTATGGGAGGCTGAGGCAGGTGGGTCACTTGAGGCCAGGAGTTTGAGACCAGCCTGGTCAACGTGACAAAACCCTATCTCTACTGAAAATACAAAAATTAACTGGGTGTGGTGGTGTGCACCTGTAGTCCCAACTATTCAGGAGGCTGAGGCAGGATAATCACTCAAACCTGGGAGGCAGAGGTTGCAGTGAGCCGCGATTGTACCACCATACTCCATCCTGGGCAACAGAGCAAGACACTACGTCAAAAAGAAAAAGAAAAAAAAGTATATATATGTATGTATAGGCTGGGCACAGTGGCTCATACCTGTAATCCCAGCAGTTTGGGAGGCCAAGGCAGGTGGATCACTTGAGATCAGGAGTTTGAGACCAGCCTGGCCAACATGGTGAAACCTCATCTCTACTAAAACCACAAAAATTAGCCGGGTATGGTGGCGCACACCTGTAATCGCAGCTACTCAGGAGGCTGAGACAGGAGAATTGCTCGAACCTGGGAAGTGGAGGTTGCAGTGAGCCAAGATCACACCACTGCACTCCAGCGTGGGCAACAGAGCAAGACTCTGTCTCAAAAAAGTGTGTCTGTTTGTGTGTGTGTGTGTGTGTGTATGTGTGTGGCTAGAATGGTCCATAATATATAGCCAGCTCGAGTCCCAGAAAACCTAGCAAGCTTAAGGTTAGAGCTTCTCATTTTGGCCTTTTCAAGATTAAATCTCCTTTAGTAAGCCCTTCCCCTCTAGGGAGGTACTTGCCGGAGCTCTGCCTGAAGTTGGTTTTCTGATGCCCTGTTTTTTCTGTTCTGAATGGTTTATTTCTCATTATAAGAGCTTAGCAAAGCAGGCAGAGTTAAAAAGCAGAGACATGAAGGCTTTAAAATCATGGACTTCACTCCTACACTGAATCTCAGGTCCCCAGAAAGACAGAAACACCATGGGACCACAGCAAAGGCAGAAGGAGGAGTGAGAGAGGGAGGTGGACAGAACAACCAACAGGAGTTGGCTCTCATTTTTTCACGCGTGCCATTTTCTTTAGGTTTTTCTAGTTTATGGAGTCTCTTTGTTCCAGTTGAGCACACAGATAAACTAGAGATCTCACAAGGCTTTTGCTGAGAACATCAAAGCCTTTAACCTCTGTTGGGCCAAATATTTAGACCAAAAATACAGACAGACACACAAAAGCCAGAACCAGACCAGATTGAGTAGCTCAGTGGCTACAGCCTTTATTCCCTTTATTCTTTAGGATACGAACTCAAACAAGATTCAGGGTTCTAACCCAACCAGGACCCCCCTGGGTTGAAACTGAAACCCCACAGTATAGACAAGGCTGGGGGTCTTTTTTTATTTTTTATTTTTGTTGAGATGGAGTTTCACTCTTGTTGCCCAGGCTGGAGTGCAATGGTGCAATATTGCTTCACTGCAACCTCCACCTCTCAGGTTTAAGCACTTATCCTGTCTCAGCCTCCCAAACTGGGATTACAAGCTTGTGCCACCACGCCCAGCTCATTTTGCATTTTTAGTAGAGACAGGGTTTCTCCATGTTGGTCAGGCTGGTCTCGAACTCCCAACCTCGGGTGATCCGCACACCTAAGCCTCCCAAAGTGTTGGCACTACAGGCATGAGCCACCACGCCCGGCCTGCTTGTTCTTTTCATTTCATCCTGATCTCCGAATACAGGAGAGTAGCTGATTTGGTGTTCGCTAACAAGCACAGAAGCTTTGTTACATTTACAGTGTCATTCTTGGCAAAACCTGAAGTTTTGACTCCCGGTTTCATGCCATTCTCCTGCCTCAGCCTCCTGAGTAGCTGGGACTATAGGCGCCCGCCACCTCACCCAGCTAATTTTTTGTATTTTTAGTAGAGACGGGGTTTCACCGTGTTAGCCAGGATGGTCTCGATCTCCTGACCTTGTGATCCGCCCACCTCGGCCTCCCAGAGTGCTGGGATTACAGGCGTGAGCCACCGCGCCCAGCCAGAAGCTCTAATTTCAATGATGATTGTGCTTTTTATCTCTTCCTCAGCATCTGGCTCATGATAAAATTTCAGGTGTCTTGATGGTATCTAAATCAGTTGTTGATTCGGTCCTGGAGAAACACAAGCATAACCTCTATGCCAAGTTATAATTTTACCTATTTCCCAACTTTTTGTTATTGGATCTCTCCACCAAACCAGTTGTTCTGCTTCTGTCTTTGCAGCTGGTTTCTGTAGATGCTGTTCAGCTGCTGGTAACATCTGGCCTTTGGGCAGGCTCAAAAATTTGAAAGTTAATAATGCAAGATTCAATTGTGTATGGGCTATCCCGTAATCCCTGTTTCTCCCCCTTTTTTGTTTTTATTATCAGTTGTTCATCTGTATGAAATCTTAACTGAGCATTTTCAATTAACTGTGTGGAATGACCCATGTATGAAGAATCAGAAATCACATTACCAGGCATATCAAAAGCAGTCAATACCTCAATTACAGCTACAAGCTCTGCCTTTTGAGCTAAAGTATAGGGTGTCTGGAAAACTTTACCTTTTGATCCAGAATAAGAAGCTTTACCATTACTAGACCCATCTGTGAAACAATGAAAACGCTTAGCAGGCTGCAGGTTGTTTACTGCAGGAATTGTAAATGCAAACGGTTCACAGTCTAGCTCAGCTAAAAGGGTAGTAAAGAAACAGTCTTTTAAATCTGTGACTATTAAAGGCCAATTTTTTGGAATTATAGTAGGAGAAGGCAATCCTGGCTGTTATGTTTCCATAGGTTGTATAACTGAATTGATGGCTCTTAAGTCAGTTAACATTCTCCATTTACCTGATTTTTTCTTAATTATGAAAACTGGAGAATTCCAAGGGGAAAATGTTGGAGCTATGTGCCCATTTTCTAATTGTTCAGTAACTAATTTCTCTAAAGCATCCAGTTTCTCTTTGCTTAGCAGCCATGATTCTATCCAAATTGGCTTATCTGTTAACCATTTTAAAGGTATAGGTTCTGGAGGCTTAACTATGGCCACCATCAAAAATGGTATCCTAATCTTTGGCAGGAACTTTGTCTTTCCGTTTGAAGCAGTTCTTTCAAACCTTGCAATTTTTTTTCTACTCCTATACCAGGGACATGCCCCATTTCGTGCATCATATGTTGATTTTGAGGGCTGTGTAATTGTTATGGAATTAGAACTTGTGCTCCCCATTGTCATAATAAATCTCTCCCCCGTTAATTTATAGGTACAGAAGTTGCAATTGGTTGAACAGTCCCAGGTTGTCCATCGGGCCCTTCACAATGCAAAGTATAGCTACTTTGATACACTTCTAAAGCTTTAGCAGTTTCCACTGTGTTAAATTGAGTAGGCTGAATTGGCCACATGGACGGCCAGTGCTATAGAGAAAAAATTGAAATGTCCACTCCTACAAAAAAAAAATAGTATCTACCAAACCTTTAAAGTTCTTTCCCTGGATAGTTATTTCACAGATAGGATGTTTATCAGTAATTTGATTTACCCAATAAGCTGCCTTGCCTTTTTTATTTGTGCTTCCAAATCCTCCAGTTCATTTAATTTCACTTTTTCCCATTCCCACATACGGCTCACTCAGGAGCTGTGCTATGCGCACTCCTGGCTGTGCTTTCCAGGGAACAGAACTAAATATCACAATTTGAATTTCCTCATTGTAATCTGAATCAATGACTCCAGTGTATATTTGTACCCCTTTTAAACTTAAACTAGACCTTCCTAAAAGTAATCCCATTGTCCCTGCTGGCAACGGTCCACAGACTCCTGTTGGGACCTTTTGCGGGGGTTCCCCAGGCAGAAGGCTCACAGCTATTGTGCAGCAAAAATCTACTGCAGCACTATGGGCTGTGGTGGGAGACAGATAACGTATGGGGGTGAGGGAATGGCCTGAGCTGGAAATGCCCTGGTTTAGAACAGGGCCTGGGATGGGCCCCTCAGGGAGTTTCCCAAAATCGGGTTCAAATCTTTATCAAACTTAGAGTGACACTGATTAGCCCAAAATTTCCTTTTTTACATTTTGGACATATTTCAGGATCAGCAGTTTTCTTTTTCCCCTATCTGGTGGCCTGACTCGGTGATTTTTTTTTACATTATTTTTAGTATGACCACGCTTCCCACAGTTAAAACAAGCTCCAGGAAATAGAGTATTTCCTTTATCCACTCTCAGTCCTGCCATCGCCTGTGCCAACAAAGTAGCTTTATGTAGATTATCTCTGATATCATCACAGTCCTTGTTATAATCAACTAAATGTGCTTTCCCTCTGATAGGTCGCAGAGCAGCCTGGCAATAAGGATTAGCATTGTCAAAACCAATAACTGCAACACTATATCCTAAGCAGCCAAATCTGCAATCATCTTTTTAAGAGACTCCTGTAACCAAGCTATAAAATCCACATATGGTTCTCTTGGTCCCTGTTTTATAGCACTAAAGGAAGGGTATTGTTCTCCACATGAAGTGATTTTTTCCAAGCTCTAATGCACACTCCTCTAAGCTGTTCTATGGCATCATCCTGCATGACCACTAGTGCATGTAAACCAGCCCAGCCACCAACCCCCAAAAGTTGGTCTGCAGTTATATTAATCTGAGGTTGGGCCCAGGAATTGCGAGCAGCCTGAATGGAAGCTTCATCTGCCTACTAAGTTTTAAACTGTAAGAACTGAGCAGGAGTTAGACAAGCTCGAGTAAGAGTGTCCCAGTCAGTAGGAATCGTCCGACTGGAAACAGCAACATTCTTTAACAGTCCCATTTCAAAAGGAGAACCTGGTCCAAACTGATTTATAGCTTGTTTAAATTTTTTGAGTAATTTAAAAGGAAAAGGCTCAAATGTAGCTATAATATTTCCCTGTTGATCTGGGGAGTGTATTCAAACAGGGAACTGCCAAGCCTCTAAATCCCACTTTTGTCTAGCTTGCTGTATTCCTGCCTGAATAGAACTAAGAGCAGTCGCTCAAGGCGCTGCTCGAAGAGTCACCAGGGAAACTACTTTTCACCCAGTGTCCTCCAGAGAAGAAAGATCTGGAGGGTCGTTTTCTTCAAAATAATAATGACGGTGTGCAGAAGGGTAGGGATGAACCTCTCCCTCCTTTTATGCTTTAGCTTTAGGTGACAAATAAACCTGGTCTGTAACCTCTACTGTTACTTTGTTATACTCTCCTTTCTCCTCATCATCAGTGTGAAAAAGTTCCAAGGTAGAACGAACCACAGCCCACACTTGTCCTATTGCTACCCTGATGCTTCAGAGCTCCCCTTCTAACTCACCACGGGGATTGCTTTAAGAGTACTCGGGTGTCCTCCAGCTAGTTCCACATTCTCCAGTCGTTGCTCCAGTGATCCTTTGACCTGTATTCGAGTCCCCATGTATGGGCACCACTTGCTGAGACCAGGTCTGTTGGAGAAACCCTAACCCAGCAGCACTAGAGGAATTAAAGACACACACACAGAAATATAGAGGTGTGAAGTGGGAAATCGGGGTGGGGGGTCTTACAGCCTTCAGAGCAGAGCCCTGAACAGAGATTTACCCACGTATTTATTAACAGCAAGCCAGTCATTAGCATTGTTTCTATAGATATTAGATTAACTAAAAGTATCCCTTAATCTTAAGGCACAGATCATTCATACTATTTTTTGTGGCTTAAGAATGCCTTTAAGTGGTTTTCCACCCTGGACGGGCCAGGTATTCCTTGTCCTCATTCCAGTAAACCCACAACCTTCCAGCGTGGGTGTTATGGCCATCATGAACATGTCACAGTGCTGCAGAGATTTTGTTTATGGCCAGTTTTGGGGCCAGTTTATGGCCGGATTTGGGGAGGATTGTTCCCAACAGTTCTTCTGGGTAAGGGTGCACTAACTCCTGTGGGGACCATCTTTGGTGGCTCCCCAGGAAGTAAGGAGATGGGAATTGTGCTGTAGAGGTCTACAGCAGCACTGCTTGCTGAGGCGGGGGACAATTGCTATACATTTGTAAGGGCAGTGGCTGTGCTGGGTTTGCCTCAGTTTGTTGAGAGGCTTGAGGCGGGTCCCCCTTCCTATTTCCTGAAAGAGGTTGTCCATCTTTGCTAAATTTAGAATGACACGGACTTGCCTAGTGATTGTCTTTCTTACACCAGGGACGTACATTGGGACTTTTCTGTTGATTGATGGTAGTAGTTTTCGTCTTTTGAATTCCTTTCTACATTCCTTTCTTGTGTCCAATTTGCCCACAATTAAGGAAAGAGCCTGAGAAATGAAGCATATTTTTTCCTTACTCTTAATCTAGCCACAGCCTGAGCTAAAAGAATAACCTTATGTAAGTTATCTCCAATGCCATCGCAAGCCTTAATATATTTAGTTAAATGGGCCCTCTCTGGGATCTAATAGCAGTTTGACACTGTGTATTAGTATTATTGTATGCAAGAAGCTGTATTACAACATCCTGAGCTGTTTTGATCATTTACAGCTTTATACACAGCCTCTTGGAGCTGAGCAATAAAATTAACATATGGTTCTTTAGGTCCTTGTCAGACAGAACTGAAATAAGGATACTTTTCCCCTGTAACATTTATCCTTTTCTATGCATGTAAGCACATGAAGCACAGCTGAACAATGGCAACATCTTCCATTAGTGCTTGATTCTCTAATCAACCCCAGTTAGGGCCAACTCATATTAACTGATCAAAGAAAACAGGCACAGGTGGCTGCACTTGTGTGTTTTCTTTTGCCTGAGTTTGAGCTTCATCAGCCTACCAAGTTTTAAACTGCAAGTACTGAGATGGAGTGAGAACAGGTTTTGTCAAAGTATCCTAATTATATGGTAGTAATCTATTATCAAGAGCCATATTTTTAAATAAAGTTTGCACAAAAAGAGAGTTCAGTCCATATTGACTAATGGCTTGCTTAAATTCTTTAGTAACTTAAAAGAGAAAGCAGCCTAATTAGCTATATTCTGTCCTACTTGCTGGATTATAGTAACGGGAAATTGCCATGCTTCAAGGTCTCCCTTGGCTTTAGCTTTTTGAATAGAATTTTGTCTAGCACCACCAATTGCTCCAGATTTTAATGTTGTAACTACAGGAGCAGTAAGTTTTTCAGCCAATTTATTTTCTCACCCATTTAGAGGAGAGAGAGGAGGTGGCCATTCACTTAATTCGGCAGGTGGAGCCAACGGGCTAGTAAAACATACTTTTTAAAGTTTTTCTTTCTTTTCTTTAATCTCCTCTGGTAGCTGCTCCCCACACTCAGAATTTGAAGTTAGTTTTTTACACTCATCCTCCTCTTCCTCATCTGAGTCTGCCTCATCATCTGTTTGAAATGGCTCAAGGGCTGCCTTTATTAGTGCCCACACTGACCATACAGAACCTGGAATTTCTGCTCCATCTTTATATGCCTTTTAAAAAATCTCTTCCAATTCTCTCCCATTCATCCAACTTCATAGTCCTTTGTTCTGGAAACCATGGGCAAAACTGCTTTACTGTACTAAAGAGTGATAACAAATTCTAAGTACTAAATTTCATTCCCCATCTTTGTATGTCCTCGGGTGTCTTTTGATGTTGTGTCCTCTGCTTTCACATGCTCCAGCCTTACTTCACCGGGTCTTTGTCACCCCATGTTGGGTGCCAGGAATGTTGGGTTGATCAGACCCAACACTAGGTCATGGGGGTGATGAAGTCCGGCAGAGTCAAAGGAATGAGAAAAAGACAGTTTGAGAGAGAAAGTGGGACCAGGAGACCATCACGAGTGTGGAGTCTGCAAAGTCCCCAAGCTCTGGGAGCCTACGCTATTTGTTGGTGCTCAAACAAACAGGTGGTGAGGATTTAAGGGTTGAAAAGAAACGGTGTATCAAGTGAATGAGAAACATATGGTCCTGCCTCAGCTTCTCTTCCAACACTCAGCTTTTCTCCCAACACATTCCCCTTATGAACAGGAATAAAATAGGGATGCCTGTTCTCACCACTCCTGTTTAACAAGTCCTAGCCAGAGCAATCAGGCATGAGAAAGCGATAAAAGGCATCCAAATAGGAAATGAAGACAAATTATCTCTCTTCACTGATGATATGATTCTACACCTAGAAATCCATAAAGACTGTGCCAAAAGGCTCCTAGAACTGATAAAAAAAATCTTCAGCAAACTTTCAGGATTAAAAAAATCAACATATAGAAAGAAGTAGCATTTCTGTACACCAAAAATGTTTAAACTGAGAGGTAAATCAAGAGTGCAATCCTGTTTACAACAGCAACCCCCAAAATAAAATAAAATAAAAGAAGAATATGTCTAAGCAAGGAGGTAAAGGATATCTAAAAGGAGAACTACAAAACACTGCAGAAAGAAATCATAGATCACAAAGCAAATGGAAAACTATTCCATGCTCATGGATTAGAATGATCAATATTGTTAAAATGGCTATACTGCCAAAAGCAATCTATACATTCAACATTATTCCTATGAAACAACCAATGTCGTTTTTCACAGAATTAGAAAAAAAAATATTCTAAATTTCATATGGATTTTTAAAGAGCCCAGACAACCAAAGGAAACCTAAGCAAGAAGAACAAAGCTGGAGACATCACATTACTTGACTTCATACTATACCCTAAGGCCACAATAGACAAAATAGCATGGTAGCGATATGAAAACAGATACAAAGACCAATGAAACACAATAGAGAACCCCAAAATAAACATGCACCTACAGCCATCAGCTTTCCCAGGATAACACAAAGAGAGCCAAGTGGCACCTGCACATTACACTGTGGAAGAAAAACCCAAGCTCAAGAAACCCCAACTTGTATTATGGGAAGTTCACTTGGCTGTACCCTTCCCAAGAGGGAGAAATTATCTGCATTATACTAGACAGTAAATAAACTTTTCCTTTGTTCCAGAAGGAGGTACTGGCTTTCTATTCCAAGGCTGTTTTCTATACAAACATTCTTGAAAACAATCATTTGGAACAAGAAAGTCAGCGTCCAAACTTGCAAAATTGCGGAAATTAAAGAGACCCAAAAACTGTTTCTCTACCAATTTCTATTTTTTAAAAATCACATTTTCCCCATATAATATGCCTTTAATATGTGATCATATTCTGAAATTGTCTTAGCATTTACCCCCATTTCTGAGTCCAGAAGGATACAATAAATTTAATTTAATTTAGTAACACTTCAAATAGTAGTGATTGTAATAGCAGAGCTAGTTTGTAGCATAAAGAAAAAATAATAATATTATTAGGTGACACAAATAATGCTAACCACCTTTCTAAGTGTCATGGTAAGTACAGTGATTATTTCCTTTTTTTCTGACTCTTTTTTATTGTATTTTTTATTTTTTTTCCCATAGGTTATTGGGGTATGGTGGTATGTGGTTCCATGAATAACTTCTTTACTGGTTATTTGTGAGATTTGGGTGCACCCATCACCCGAACAGTGTACACTGCACCTTATTTGTTAGCTTTTATCCCTCGCCCCCCTCCCTATTAAATAATAGACAAAAAATAATGGGTTTAGAATAAATGAGTTCAAATGAATTGTCAAATGTATGTGGGAAAAGTGGAATCAGTTTGTGAGAAAAAGCAAAAAACTCAACAGAAATTCTGATAAAGCATCATCCCTACATGGCTAGAGCTGCCAGGACACTAGAACACCAAAATCAGCTAGGGAAATTTTGTAGAAGTCCCAGATGTACTAAATGTTCTGTGAATACAGAGAGATATAATTATAACTGTTACCTGCATGTAGAGTAAAGATGAGAAGGCATTGGTCATGGTGGCAGCTACCTCAGGAGTTACAAAGCAGACGTGGCTACACGACAGTGTATGTCAGGGCAAAGCTGTCCTAGGAGGCTATTAGGAGCTGGTTACGGCACAGACATTGTAAGTCAGATGGTCTCATTACTTTCAATGACAAAACCAAAATTACTTTTGTATCAGCCTAATACAACGGCCTGGCCAGAGCAGAGAAAAAGTCCCTGTGGCTGTTAGGTGGGGACCTCTGATGCAGCACAATTCCTTCATCCCCTTCTCCAAAACCCCCTCTTCCATTCCACTGAAGAGAGAATCTGATGGAAGTCCTGTGTAAGCAGGCTCAGATATATCTACCACTATAGACAGTAGAGGTGATTCACAAATCCAAGCCTATCAAATACATCATAAATAAGTTACACGTTTAATTTTTTTTTGAAATTAGGGATCATGATATGAAAGTTATCAGAATCAAAACTGTCAATAATGTTTAAAAAGAGAAGAAGAAACCTGAACAAATAGATTCAGAGAAGGCCTTGAAGAGAGGGTTCTCATGCTTCTAGGCCTGATAAAAACTATCACAAAATACCACAAAACCACAACCCTGCACAAAGGCCATAGCAACCTTACACAAAATACACTTCTGTGAGGACATCTATCCAGCAACCGCCTGCCCAAACTTCAACTGATATTGACCTTGTTGTTGATCTTTATAGTCAAAGGTAACTATATCAAAACTATTATAGAAGCCCCTTCATTTTTCCCTTATTTATTTTTTTCTACTCCCCCGTACTTCCAGGTTGATCATTTTTCTTTTAAAGACCTTGTCTTCCTTTACCATTTGAATCTATATAGTTTGCTTTGTCATGCATATTCCCATTACAGTGCCCTCCTCCCTAAGATGTGTCTTTTTCCTTTAGAGAGCCTTTCTCTGTTTGTTATTTAGGTTTACAATGAGAAGGCACGTAAAGTATTTTTACTGTCTTCCTAGGAAAAAATCACTGACTTACAGTATTTATATTTATTTATTTACATTCCTGGGGATGAGGAATTAAAGATTTCACAAATTTTCTTATTGAGAAGATCCAAGTTTTCATGTAAGCAAAACTGAATATGTAAATTGATATGTAAATTATGCTGCAGATAATATGGTCAAATGTTTACTTGTATATAATTTGTTACACATGAATATTGCATATGTAAGATAATATACTAAGAAATTATCACATTTAATGAAATGCTTTAATCAAATTCCTGATTGAATTTTTGATATCAATATCTTTTTCATTGTTTAATCCATCTTTAGGGTGAACAGGGCTTTATAGGCCAAAGTTATGACTTCTATCTAAATTGTCTGAGTTACAGAACTTTTTGAATTTATTATGTTGTCACAGGAAGTTTCTTATTGCTTGTTTAAAGGAGTGTCTCTCAATATGATGCAGAATGCAAAAGCACTGAAGGGCATATATCCTGAGTTTCTATTACTGAAGCCAAAGGTTGCCAATTTCTTGTAGATCCTGCTAGAGTTAAACTTCATTTAAGTAATCATTAAAAGCTGAATTTATTCCCTCACTTGAAATTTTGATTTCACACTATTAGGACTAATCCTCTAAGTCTTTGCTAAGTTATGTTCCTCTTTTTCTTGTAGCTTGACTTTGATGATCTCTATATGCAACTTCAATTGACATAAATTAAAGTACATTCAGGGCAAGAGAGTTTCTTTAAATATTACTTTGTTATTCAAAATAATCACAAAAGCACTCATCGTAGGAAAACTTGTGAGGACTCAAATATAGGGAAATACTTTTTCTTTCTAAGGCACAATTCTCTAAAGAAGTTCACTTTAATTTGAATATACATGGGAAAATATCCTTGTTCACTAATAGTCTATATTCACTCTGTTTTCTTCCCTCATAGACCAGCCGGTTCACTATTATTCTCCAAATGATGTGTGCTTCTCTAGAGTCCAGGCTATCTGCATATCTAATTTTTCCCACAAATTACTGTTTTGAATTGCACTGAATTCAATTCAAGGGGATGTCATTTATAAACAGTGCAAATATATACTGCACGAGGGATCTTAGAAATCATACACATGGTTTGATCCATAAGCTCATATGAGCGTGCAATGTCAACTTTTTTCATGTTTTTATAAATCCACTTAAATTCTATTTTAAGCCATCATCTGCCTGTGCTGTTAGGGCAGTTAGCCTTCAATCATTTTAAGATGCTCCCCTCTAAGTACTGTGATAGTGATAGAGATATCACCAGTCAGGTGTCCTAGGAAGCCGACTCCGAGTTGGAGATTTGCATGCAAGGAGGTTGAAATGATATTCCCAACACCTGTGGAAGAGTGAAAGCAATAGGATTGGGTGGAGCAGGAAGTCGGCTGGAATGCAATCACTATCATGGCCGCAGTCCACTCTACAAGGATCTTGGTGAGTTTACCTAATGACCTCGAATTGGAGCAAGAAAACCAGGCCATTATATTTCTGTACCAAGCAGTTCTCGGATGTGGGATGCCTTGAGAAGGGACATGAACTTGGATGAAGGAACTTTACTGTGCTGTGAGTATTGTTGCCAGGAGTCAGCTGTCAACACTCCCAGGAGACGGGAAATTATGCTTTAGTCACTGAGGCGGCATGTAGTGTCAGACCACAGCCTTGTTAAACAGAGCCAGAATTTGGAGGATGGTTGGTGGGTTAAACATTTGGGGCTTGACATCTTGTCCCCACAAGCTGCTTCTGGCCTCTTCCTTGTCCATTTCTGTGTGACCTGTATAGGAGCCCCAGCTTCCTGCTTCTTCTTTACCATATTTGGAATGCAAAAATCTATACCTAATTTGGCCCATGGACCCTTCTGCTTAGACATATCCTTGTAGCTATTTTTTTAAAAAGATGACTATGCCTTCTAGAATATTTCTAAGAAACTGCCTAAGTCACCACTGCTCACCAAGAGGCCTTTGTTTTTTCCTCTTCTTAACCATAGGAAAGGAATGTAGGAGGGTAGGGAGTGGATATTTTCTAACCTGGAAAAAACTCATTTTACCCTATATGATTTTTGTTAGCAAATTCCTTCTTTGCACTTACTCCACAATCTTTCCAAATTCTCCCAAATGCTCAAGCTTTTAAAAAACAAAAGACAGAAAAATAGCAGGTTATTAGGTTTTCCAACAAACCTTTTCTTTCTATTCCTTTACATCAGTGGGCTTAGAATAACTCTGCTCCTGGAACTGGGAAAGGCACTTGGGAAAAGAAAGAAAAAAAAAAGCTCTCAAAGTTTAACATCACAAAACATTATAGTCATTGCTATTTTATTATTTATTTATTTATTTATTTATTTATTTATTTATTTATTTTTGAGATGGAGTCTTGTTCTGCCACCAGGCTGGAGTGCAGTGGTGCTATCTCAGCTCACTGCAACCTCCGTGTCCTGGGTTCAAGCGATTCTCCTGCTTCAGCCTACTGAGTAGCTGGGACTACAGGCGTGTGTCACCACACCCAGCTAATTTTTCTATTTTTAGTAGAGATGGGGTTTCACCATATTAGCCAGGATGATCTCGATCTCCTGACCTTGTGATCCACCCGCCTTGGCCTCCCAAAGTGCTGGGATTACAGGCATGAGCCACCGTGAGTGACCTTGCTTTGTAATTTTTACATCATATATCCCCTGTGTTAGACCAAGAGCTTCTAAAAGCCAGAAGACATACACCATTTATAGTTCAATTAGAGATGTTCACTGATAAAACTTATTCTTCCATCTGAGGGTGGTACTTGTAGTTACAGTAATGTAGATGACAATCTAAGTTATGTTCTATAAACTGTGTCACTGACATCTCAATCTACAGCTAACTTTAATTTTTTAAAAGCAGAGGAGTGGGTTCTATAGGTTTAGAAATACATTCATCAAGCTAGTTAAGTGAGATAGATTCAAACCTTCAACTCACTGGAATATTTACCAAATTGACTATTCATTAGCTAAAGGAGCCATACAAACAAGGTACGTTTTAAAATTCAAAATTATGTAAGGTTTTGTTTCCTTTTTATGCTGTTATGAATTGGATTGTAGAGGTTATAAGGTAAAATAAGGTTACTTTTACAGTAAAGCATACAACACATTGTCACAAGAGGGCAGCCTTTGAACATGAATTGCTTCTCAGGCATTCCTTGAAATTTTGAGACAGTTACTTTAATTAACACAATTAAATAATAAAACACTACAGAGGATCTAAGAAGATACTTTGACTTATGCATATTGTTACTTTTTTATTACTGCTAGTGGAAGATGTAATCTACAAGGAAGGCAAGGGCTGAATTTGTTTTATGTAAAAAGACAAATTTCTTTGGGTTTTAGCTTTCAAACAAGATAGTAGGTCAATGTCTAAATGAGTGTATCAAAGTTGTCACACTAGCACATGTAAATCCACCTCTTATCTACCCAAAACTCCAACCAAGCAAAGGCAAGTTGGAAGAATCAGACAAATGTAAGTGCCTAGGATACATAAATGCCACTGGATTTTATGTTTTTAACTTTCAACCTCCCAAGTTTCACTAAGAGACATGTTATTTGGAGAGGTTGCTAAAGTGTAGTTGTATGATGTCTCTGTGTACGGTTGGTCTGGACCTCTTTCTGTCCAGTGGTTGCCCTCAACTGATTAGAGTCACCTCTCTAAAGATCATGCTTACGTCCCTGGAGCAGTCCACAGCACTATCAATGTCTGACCTCCACCTTTTTCCAATTAATATTTCTGTACTTACTGAATTGGAAAACATACAGGTGTTTTTTGCCTGGTCACTTGTGGTTTTACAACACTCCCCCCGCTTCCGCACCACTGCCCCAGGTGATTTTGTTGCCAGCCAAAGTGTGAGAACTACTGGCAGCTGCTGGCAGACAGCAGCAAAGGCCCAAATCCTCTGTGTGATTTCAATACCCCTATCTGGTTTTCAGCCATATTTCCTTCTCCTTCTCAAAGCTGAGCCCACTCCTCCTCCCTCACCACCTGTAGGCTATGCTTTCCAGCCTGTGTCCAGGATTAGTCCTGATGTAAGGCACGTGGGGTTTAAGGATCTCTCTCTTCAGTCTTATTTCCGCACCATCGCTGACACATATATTCCAGTTGTAATCATGGGGCTACCTCCTTTTCTTTCCAGTCCCATGCTCATTTTCTCTATCACATTCTACCTTGTAATAACCTAAATCTTCTGGTGGGCAAGCTTCTTCCTCAATCAAATTTGTGTTTATGATTGTGTTGGGGATTGGCTTAGTAATCCAGGTACTGCTACTGCCTTGAAAGCGGAGACTGCATCCTTCTGTCTGGATATCTTGAGTTTCTGGATTGTAAACCTTATTAGGGCCCATTTTTCCTAGAATTGGAGCCTCTACTTTGTTCTTGCTACTTTAGTTCACCCAGAAAGCACGATCTCTGCCTGAATTTCAAAGTGTTGGCTAGCTTAAATATCCTTTTGTGAGACTTTCGTCTTCCTGCGGGGTGATTTTTTCATCTTACATACCATTGCTAATCTTTTTGTCTTGAATGTAATTGAAATAGTTTTAATCTGTGTTACCAGCAACAAGAACCCCTTTTATGAGATGAAGAGGCCAGGTCAGTCTCATAACATGTGTCCCCCTCCGTGTGTTGAATTTATGTCAGAGCCAGGTTCTTTCCTATTTGACGTCTCTCACCAAATTCCAGTGTTTATGTCCTAGGAGGTGCCCAATAAATTCTAGAGTTGATACAAGCTGCAATTTTAGAGAAATTAAATTAGCAAGTAAAATTAGATTATATACAACCTAATCAACTTTTTTTTTCTGAGGATGACCAAGATTTGGGCTTCAGTGACAATAGTTGTCCCCTAAATATTTATACTCAAAATCTAGGATCACCAGTACAATGTTGAATAGAGGTGATGAACACACACATCCCTTTCTTGTCCTAATCTATGTGGTTTAAACATTTACGCTTTCACCATTAAATATAGTATTGTTTATATGTTTTGTTGTGGATGCTTTCCATCACGTCGAGAAAATTTCTTTATCTAGCTTGCTGAGAGTTTTTTTTAAATCAGCAATAGATATATCTCCAAAGAAAATATCCACATGACCAACAGATACATGAAAAAAATGCTCTGCATCACTAATCAGGGAAATGCAAATCAAAACCACAAACAGATATTGCCTCAAGCCCTTTAGAATGGTCTTATTAAAAGAAAAAGATATCGAGTGTTAACAATGGGGAGAAATTGGAACACTTCTACAGTGTTTCTGGGAAAGTAAAACTGTGCAGCCTCTATGGAAAACAGTACGGTGGTTCCTCAAAAAAATTAAGAAAGTAGAACTACCATATGATCTAGTAGTCTCACTTCAGGTTATTTATCTGAAAGAATGGAGATTGGGATGATTCTCAGGCTCATTGCAGCATTATTTACACTAATTAAAATGTGGAAATAAGGTTAATGTCTATTGGCAGATGAAAAGATAAAGAAAATGTGGTATATTCATACAACGGAATATTATTCAGCTTTAAAACAAGAAAGCCCGTCAATATGCAACATGGATGAACCTAGAGGACATTAATGCTAAGTAAAGTAAATCAGTCACAGAAGGACAAACTGTATGATTCCACTTGTATAAAGTATCTAAGATAGCCAAATTCATTAGAATCACAGATTAGAATGATGATAGCTCTTTAAATTGAAGTCAATTTTGCATTCCTAGGTTTTGTAATTTTGGTATCAGGATTCTGACTCATAAAACAAGTTTGGAATTTCCCCCTTCTTTATTTCTGAAATAATTTAAAAATTTTATTTTTTTTAAACGTTTGAAAGAATTCACCAGTGAAATTCTTTAGATCTGGGGTTTGCTTATTTTTTTATTTATTTAATTTTATGTTTTTATATGCAGGTATTTTACAATTAATTTAATTACTTTAATAAATGTCAATTACTTCATATGTTCCATTAAATCTTGTGAATTTTTTTATAAGTTTTTTTCAAGGAAGTCACCCTTTCATCCAAGTAATGAAAATTTGTATATAATGTTTCACAATATTCCATTATCTTGTTAATGTCTCTTGTGTTTACAACTGTACAATCTCATTAATCCCTGATATGTATAATTTGCGTTTTCTTTCTTTCTCACAGAACTAACTTTTGGCCATGTTGATTTTCTCCTGTTTCTGTTTTCTGTCTCATTGATTTCTAATTTCTGTTTTATTTCCTTTCCTCTACTTGTTTTGGACTTAATTTGCTCTCTTGTTTTAGATTTTCTTTTTAAGGTAGAAAATTAGTTCACTTGTTTTGAACTTCTCTTTTCTAGAATAAGCATTTATACAAAAAATTTACTCTGGGTCTGCTTAACTTTATCCCATACATTTTTATATAGTATATTTTTATTTGTATTCAGTTCAATGTATTTAAAAGTGTTTCTTATGATTTCTTCATTGAGCTAAAGGGCATTTTAAGGTGTATTTAAATCTTCCAATAGTGTAGACTTTCCTGGGTAGCTTGTTTTTACCCATTTCAACTCATTTTCATTATGGTCAGAAAGCTTACTTTCCATGATTACAGTGTTTTGAAACTTCTTGAGAGATATTTTGTGGTCTATAGCCTATTGATAAATGTTTCATGTGTAGCATAATAGAACATATATTCTATTGTCTTGGTCAATATCGATTAGGTCAAGCTGTTGTCAAAATTATTTTATCTTAATTTTCTTTAGTTATTCTGTCAGCAATACAGCATTATGTCTTCATAATTACTTGACATTTTATCATTATGAAATAGCTGTCTGTTGTAATATTGCTCGTTTGGAGGTCTACTTTTTCTTATACTAATATAGCCACATAAGATTTCTTGTCCTTGTTGTTACCTTGGTATACTTGGAAATTATTTTACTCTCAACTTATCTATACCATAATATTTGGCATGCATCTCTTATAGGTACTTTTATTATCCAGTTGGACAATCTGTGTTTTATTTGGAGTATTTAAATTACATTTGAAATAATTACTGAAAAGGTTGGATTTAAGCCTACTATTTTTGCTTTTTCTTTTTTTTTTTTTTGAGACGGAGTCTGGCCCTGTCACCCAGGCTGGAGTGCAGTGGCGGGATCTCGGCTCACTACAAGCTCCGCCTCCTGGGTTCACGCCATTTTCCTGCCTCAGCATCCGGAGTGGCTGGTACTACAGGCGCCCGCCGCCATGCCTGGCTAATTTTTGTATTTTTAGTAGAGACGGAGTTTCACCGTGTTAGCCAGGATGGTCTCAATCTCCTGACCTCGTGATCCACCCGCCTCGGCCTCCCAAAGTGCTGGGATTACAGGCTGAGCCACTGCGACCAGCCTATTTTGCTCTTATGTTCTATTTGCTCCATCATTTTTTGCTCCTCTTTCTTTCATGCCTTTTTATATTAACTGAACAATATTCAGCATTCCATTTTAATTCCTTTATTGGCATTTTAGAAGAATATCTTCATATAATGTGGTGGTTCTCTAGGGATTATAATAAACATCCTGGGCTTATCGCAGTCCACTTAGTGTTAATAGTCAGCGTTTTCATGTAACATAAAGAAAAGTTGCGACAAAATTGTTGCGTTTAGTCTCCTGTCAGAGCTATTAATTTAGAATATTTTACACACATTATCAATAGTACACTTAATTTTTTATTCAAAGCATCAGTTGTTTGTTATAAAACTAAAAAAAAAAAGCCTTAGTTTTTCACGTTTATGCACATGCCATTCCTAGAGCTTCTCCTTGCTTCCTGTAGGTCAGAATTTCCATCTGTTGTTATCTTTCTTTAGCCTAAAAAATTTCCGTTTGCATTTCTTGTATCTAGGTCTGCTAATGACAATTGTTTGAAGCTTTCTTTTATCTGAATAAATCTTTCTTTTCTCAAGAATTACTTTATCTAGTTATAGAATTTGGAGTTGACAGTTTTCTTTTGAAGATGTAGTTTCATTGCTTTTTAAAGTGTCATTTCTGATGACAGGTCATCTGTCTATTTGTTTCCACGGATGTAAATTATTTTCTCCCTCCCTTTAGCTACTTTCAAGATTTACTCTATTTTTTGCCCAGTGGTTTGACTATGGTATGTCTACATTTGGTTCTCTTTATTTTTATTCTGTTCTTTGAGTTTCTTAAACCTGTAAGTTGATATATGCTGACAATTAGGAAAACTTTTGGTCTTTACTTTTTCAAATAGCTTTTTTTGTCTCATTTACTTCTCTACTCTTTCTAGGACTCCAATTATATTAGTGCTAGACTGGCCCTATTTTTATTATTTTTCTTCGTTTGTATTAACTGTATTGGGAAACTGTTCTTGATCTGTTTTTAAGTGCACTGATAATTTTTTGTGCCATCTTTAATTTACTGGTATGTACATAAAATGACATTTTTATAAAAGATATTCTGTCTCTCAGTTCTAAAATTTGTCCTATTATCTCTTTATCATTTTTACTTCTCTGTTGAGATTCTCCATATATTCCCTCTTATGACCATCTATTCCTTAAATCCTTGAATATGCTTATAATAGCTTATTTTAAATTTCTTATATTCTAATTCCAGCATGTGGGCCATTTCAATGTCTTAATTCATTGTTTACTTTTTTTGTCATGTGTCATATTTTCCTGGTTCTATGTCTAGGCAGGTTAAATTATATGTTAGATTATGTGTATGATATTTTGTAGAGATAGGTTCGTTTATTTTCCTTTGAAGAATGACTCTTTTCTAACATTAGTCTTCTTTCCGTAGTCAAACACCAAACTTTCACTCCTGAGCTATATGCAATGGTTGAAATCTCTGCTCTGTGCTAGTAATTTAGCTGTTGTTTTCTGCTGGATTCTATGGAGTCTCCTTTTATGAATGTGAAATGTAGCAGCCATCATATATCTGAATGAAGTTGAAGTGCTGATTTTAGATTTTTACTCTGTGATATTCTCCTCTGTGACTTTCAGTTGTGTGAGATTTCCTCCCATGTCATTCAAATTTCCCAGTTCCTCTTTTCTGTCAGCCTGGAACTCTGTGCTCTTATTCCTCAAGCTAGTAAAACTCACCGCTTTACTCGTAGACATCTAATTTTGCACAGACTGGGAAGCGTCATCAGGTGTGAAGTTGCATTGATGCAAATTTAAATCATTGCAATTTTCTTTATTCTGTGGTCAAATACTTCATCATTAGTGGAGTATTCTACTATTTCTGCCTCTTTTCTGTTTCTCATTACCATCAAAGTGTATTTAATTTTTTTAGAGTTAATAGTTTTTTCCCTGCATTTGGTTTAGACCTGAGCTACTACCATATTTTGTAATTCAAACTTTTTGTCTAACAATGTTTTAGAAAACTCTTTATTTGGAGGGAATTCTCAAACTTCTAAATACTCTACAAACATTAGGATCAGGGCTCACATTCCCAGTTTCCCTTGTAGCCAGATGTACATATGGAACATGGCCTCAGCTAATGAAGCATACCCACATATTTGAAAGTAAGAAAAGTGTTAAGAGGAACTGTAGATATCATTTTAGTTGATGCAAGGATGGAAAAAAATAACCAACTTTCACTGGTGAACTTTGTCTTCAATCATTGTTTTCCCGTTGGTAAGTGGCTAATTTTCTGGCCTAGAGGTGGCATTGGTGTGTTGGTAACAATTGATTTGATGATAACCTGCTTTTGTCTTTTTAAAAATTGCTAATCCACCATTGTTTCTGGTCCTGTTTTATATTTATGCAGTGTATAATGTCTCATGCAAAATTTAGTTCTTTGTTTCTCAGCTTAAACTGGATTTTGATGAGCAGTTTTCACCTTCAAATGAAATAAATGGCTTTGGTTGATGTTAGGCAAAAATAACAAGAAGGAATTAAAGAAATATGTTTGTCTTCTTGTAACATTAAATAAATGAAACTGAAAATTCAATAATTCTGCTTCATAAAAAAATAGAAAGTTTCTACTGGTTTTAATTATTTTTGAAGCTGTATCATTAAATGAAATTTCTGCCTCATGGAAGGTTTTTAGAACTATGTAATAATACCATACAGACCATTAGGAGAGAAATGAATAAAGACTGAAAGAAGTAAGCACTGTGTGGTAACATAGATGGCGCACAGTTGTGTGCGTGGAGCCCTAATACATTTGACCATGGAATTTATACAATAAATGTTAGTTTCCTGTGAACCTGCTAATTAATATGACTTTTGCAGACATTTCCTTAACCTAAACAGTTTGGGTTTCCTGTATATAGACTGCATGTATTCTCATCTTTAACCTTTCCATAATCTTCCCTAATTACAGATGTCATTGGTTCTTAATAGCAAAAGAACAGCAGTAGCTTATAAAGTTATATTATTTGTTTTTTACTAATATGTGAAGTGATTTTGTCTTTCATTTCACCTCTAGAGCTAATTATGTCTTCTAGGTTAACAAAATTTCCAGATCATACCATCATTAGTTTAAACTTTACAATGAAATCATTATTTCCATTTATTACTAGCCTGAATTATAGCAATATTTAGCTAATGAATTCTCAAAATATTTCTTGAAAGGTGAAAGAGTACCTCAAGTAAATGGTGTAATTTATTTATTTATCAGAATTTTAAATTAATTGTTCTGTTTAATCTCAAAGGGGTACCAATGAAGTCAGGGCATAAGGACTCCGTGGTTAATAAAATGGCAAGAATTAAAAAGGATTATTACATTTTTTCCTCATACTATGATGGCTATAATTTTTTAAAACAGTAGAAATGTTTAATTTTTAAAGGCTACTAGTGTCTATTTCATTCAAAGATGTGAGCTCTTCAGTTCAACTTGTTGTTTGAAATTTGAACAGCTTTTTCTTGCTCTTGTTCAATACAGTTATTTAACAGTCCAGGCAGGCCTCTGGAGTTACATATATGTATGTGGCTATGTGTGTATATATACACAGAAGTACAAATAGCATATAAACAATTTACATAAGACTTTTGCTTTTGATGAAAATTCTTCTAAAAGTGAATATAAATTAATAGCATATGGAGCCTACAAAAATTGTCTAATAGGGAACTAGGAAAAGATAATTTGTGAAGAAAGAGTTCGCTAAAACAGACTTTTTATTTTTACATGTAATAACATTATATTGAAGGGTTTCCAGAAATATAAAATGTTATAGGGCACTTATCCTGAGACACACGAAGGAGACAAGGGATAGAGCTAGGATGGAAGTGAAAATAAAGGGCAAATAGAGATAGATACTTAAGTGGAAATGAAACACTGCATGTTCTCACTCATAGGTGGGAATTGAACAATGAGAACACATGCACACAGGAAGGGGAACATCACACACCAGGGCCGGTTTTGGGGTGGGGGGTGGGGGTAGGGATAGCATTAGGAGATATACCTAATGCTAAATGACGAGTTAACGGGTGCAGCACACCAACATGGCACATGTATACATAAGTAACTAAACTGCACGTTGTGCACATGTGCCCTAAAACTTAAAGTATAAAAAAAAATCATCAAACAGGTGGTAATTTCAAAACATGGCTTTTCCAGGCAGCCAATTTTCTGAATGTATCGCAAAAGAAGATAAATTGCATGTCTATGTAGATCATGTCAATGAAATAAACAATAAAGTTACTTATTGGAATATTGAAAGTGGTTGATAATAAATAAATTATTTATATTTATGGTAAAAGCAATAAACTTGATTTTTAGGGGGTTCAATGACTTCCTGAAAATATCCTCTCACAGATTTTCTCTGAGTGTCCAGTTGGCAAAAGCGCAGCTCCAAATAGCTATTTCTGTCAACGTCTACAGAACATTTACAGTTTGATTTCCAAAAGTTTCCATTTCTACTGACCTTACAAATTTGTAAAGTGAATGCCCACCAGGATAAAATATTAAGTGATAAAATTAATTGGATCCTACAAGTGAAAATCTAGGCAAGGAAAATCTTCTTCCTTCTTAATGAATGATTTTTATGTCTCTTCATTCTTGTCCTTCTAGGTAAAGCAACACTCTGGAGAACTTCTTTTGAGGCATTTCACCACCAGAGTAAGTGTGATGTATGAGTAATTAGTCCACCCACAGGGATCTGGTGAAATTAAATGGGAAGTTATTTCCTAACTGGCATATCTTGGTGTAAAATTAATCTAATAACAGCTTTCATAAGAGAACATAAGCTTAAAAGACAACATTTTTCATTCAACTTTACCAAACAAAGTGCAAATTTAGGTGTCCAGTTGTGAAGTTTGGTTGTGTGTGGATTGTACGGTGAAGGTACCAGTGGACAACAGTTGCTCATCAAGCAAGTTTATACAAAAGCTTTTGGACAAGTCCAACTCTAGATAAAATTCGAAAGTATTTCATGCTTGTGTTCAGAGTTTCTTTTTCTCTCTCCAAGGTAACTCACATATCAAAAGACATACGGGTTGTGGGTAGAACTTCCTAAAATTGCTGGTGAGAAGTGTACCATGCATAAGCATACTTCACTAGCTTGAATTTTCTGTTAGTCTCACAGGCAACAATTACAATCCTGTATGTTTTTCTATCTCCAGACACTCCTGAACATAAAAAGACCAAGTAACATCCCTGGTTAAGATGTGTACAGGTTCCAAGACATGTCTAAATATATTCACCAAGAGGTTTATTATTTTCACAGTGGCATTCACTAAATCAGTTGTCAGTGTAGCATTACTCAAGGAATACGCAGGGTCTTTAATTTATCAAAGTTTGGAGTGCACCCCAAGTTGGATCACTGAAGCACATAACTATAGATAAGTTCACTCAAAAGCACAAATCCAGGTAATAAATATTCACTAGTAGTTTATATGCATTTAGCAATTTGAATGCTGTGAAGTGTAGCCCAGAAAATCAATCGACATGGAGCTATTAAAGAGGCATTCATGGCACCTGCACTTTGAAGCTCTTCAGACTCAGGTTAAACAGGAGACATGGTAGCTCATATATACTGCAAAAACCCTTCCTCTTTCCCTTTTTATCTATGAACCTGCCCTTTTCAATGTTATCTAGATGCCTGAAGGTATGAATACCCTTGATCTTGGTAAAAAATGGTACCACCCATCAGCAAAATCTCACTGATCAGTGTCTATGTTACCTCACTGAGTTAGCCTTTTGTGTTGTTGTGGCCCAGAATGACAATGTTGACACAATCCAAACCAGTAGTTGGAAAGTTAATGTTGGATGCGTCTTTGACAATTGATGGAATGACCTGAAATCAAATGTGAGGCAGTGGAGACACAAGAATGCTATTCAGGAAGTTAGTGATCTGTGGAGATACTAAATGAAATATCTGGAAGGAATTGTAATCTTGCAACTATGCTTTTATGTGTTTTTTGACATAAACAGTTTCTATTTATAGTGGAGCTAGAGTGTCCATTTCCCATGAAGTTCCCATAGTGTTAACTAATACAGTCATGTGTCACTTAATGACAGGGGTGAGTCTGAGAAATGCATTGCTGGACAATTTTATTATTGTATGAACATCACAGAGTTTACTTACACAAACCTAGATGCTATAGCTGATTGCATACCTAGGTTAGGTGGTATAGCCTATTCCTCCTAGGCTACAAACCTGTGCAGCATGTTACTGTACTGAATACTGTAGGCAATTGTAACACAACAGTTAAGTATATCTATACTTACTTATATCTATACAGTAAGTGTATCTATACATGTCTAAACATACAAGAGGTACAGTACAAATACAGTGTTATGATTTTATTGCACCACTGTCATACAAGTGCACTATCCTTGACCAAAATGTTGTTACGTGATGCATGATTGTAACAAAAGAATTAATTAAATATAATATCGAAGTGCCTATTGAGATTTCAATGAAGAAAGGAATATTTGTAAATTCTGATTACCTTAAGTGGGAATTGACTTTCTTCCTGTTTCCATGGCTCTTCTTGTGAAAGAGCATAGCTTTCCAAAGACCTGAAATCTCTGACAAATCTTGCAATTCTCTATAGCCTGCATTATGAAGGTCACCTGGTATCAAAAGGGGCAAAATGGTAGATTATAAAGACCTGTACTTTCTTGTCACTTCCTAAACATAGCAAGCATTGGTCTATCTTGAACATTTCTGCAGTTATAAATGAGCCTTGGGTCATGATTTTCTGCCTTTTTATCATAGACAAGATTTAATTTAGGAGATGTCCTTTTAATGTGTAATGTGAATAATAAGTGACACTTATGAAGCCTATTTTCTTCCAGCCATTTTAATTGTCAAATCTGTCCAGTCAAGATGCAATGTTAGAGGTTTCACTGACAACACCGTCTGTGTGTGTGTGTGTGTGTGTGTGTGTGTGTGTGTGTGTGTATACATACATATGATTGAGCAGGATTTATTGTAAGTCAAAACAGTCTCAAATTTCTTAGGACAATACAGCTTCCTTGGCCATTCCCTTGGAGCTCTGAGTTGAGGAGCTGGTGATGTGTATTTCTTTTGCATGTTCTCCACATTATCCCTATGCAGGCCTTCCATGGGCTTGGTTTTGGAACCAGTGATGAGGAAGATCATTAGAATTGTTTTTCTCAAAAAGATTCCTCCATTCTTCTGTATAAGCAATGGAAATTTTCCCAGACCAATATTTCTTCTTTTGAAATGGTAAATTTTGAATATTAACTGGTTAGTATAATCCCATAAAATAACAAAGTTTGAGCCCTATGATCTGTGTTTTAGGCTCAAGTTGTGTTTTATGCTAAATTATCATTTACTCCTTGTATGATCTTTTTTTTTTTTTTGAGACAGAGTCTCACACTGTCACTCAGGTTGGAGTGCAGTGGCACAATTTTGGCTTACGGCAAGCTCCGCCTCCCAGGTGCACACCATCCTTCTGCTTCAGCCTCCTGAGTAGCTGGGACTACAGGTGCCCGCCACCACACCCAGCTAATTGTTTTTTAAGATTAAGGATGAAATAAAAGCTGCTCCCCTATATTACATTCATAAATCAGAATTATTAAAGCAAGCTATTTATTTATTAGAAACACATACTCCAAATTTAGCATCTAAGACATGACAGTCTTTCAAGAGACATCAATTTACTTTTTAGGGTCTATAGCTATATTTGTATTCATGTTATTGGTGTCCATAATATTTCATTAGATGTTCTGGGTAAATTGATAAATGAAAATAATATATGTGATAAGGAGAACAACCTAGGCCTCCTGGAGGGCCCCTTACAACTCAGCTGGTGTTAGCAGAAATGCCTGGGAGTAACAGTGAGAAACAACCTTTCAAAAGTGTTGAGCAATTTTTCAGGCAGAGGAATATGTATACCAATCCAGGCAGCAAGATAAGTGGAGGTCAGTTAAAAGATCAGTGTGTGATTACATTTCATTTTTAGGTTTCTACTGAGAGGAAATATGACACTCAGTTATTATTTTCTCCACATATCTCTGGTTATTTTGTCACAACCTTTTATGTAAGCTACTACTAAACACTGGGTTATCCAAGATCTATGGGTCGTATTCAATATTTGCTTTTCCCTCAACTACTAACACATTTGATTCCCTTTGTAACTTTCTCCCCTATTTCTCCTTTCAACCTGTTTTCTCCAAACACACTGAGTAAATAAGCCTCCTATATACTCTCATAACCTGTTTTATCTAAAGAGATTTCTTTTTTCTACTATTATACCCATCTCATTCCCTAATTTATTTATTCTTATTTCTCACTCTATTTTTTATTCTTTTAGGCACAGCTCATGTCTCATGACTTTCAAAAAGTTTTTCTTCTGATATTCCCAGCTCGAATTAGGTACATCCCAATCAGTTTCCTTAGACTTACAACTCTGCATATTATTGGCTTGCAATCTGTCTTAGGCTGGGAATTAGCTCCTTGTAGGCAGGGGCTAGAATTTATTTACTCTTATGTCCATAATGCCTGACACAGGAACTATTCTCATATACAAATTGTAAGGCCATAATTCCTGAGAACATATGTACATTGTAGTGACTCATAAAGGCTTGAAATAAATTTTTAAAATGATAAATTGGGAAGTCCATGAACTTGACATCTTGATGTAGAAGAAAAGCAAGGGCAGATGAAGAAGTTATACAGGATACTTGAAATACCAGAAGAATATAATCAGAGAGCAATAAATTAATCCTAGATTTTTAGATGTGAAGAAGTTCTGAGAAATATTTGAAGACATGGCTCTAGGGATGAGTACATAACAGAGACCATTAGCCAGAGTCAGAGCTTTTCAGAGTGAAGAAATTCCATTGCAGGGGGCAGGACTCTTGTATACTAAATAGAAATTGTCATTAAATGGAGACTAAGCAAGAGGCTGATGATCTGTGGATGACAGATGCAGAAAGGTGTGGAGATAGAGGTAAATGCCATAATATACAAAGAGGATATTTTTGTACCAGAAAGAAATAATAGGTCTAGAACGTAATAAAAGATAAATAGTTAACTACATTGCAATGTGGTCTGAGAACTCACTGAAGGCATAGCCATTGATATTAACTTCCACTTCGCTTCCAGACAAAAGATTTTAAATATCTTAAAAATTGCATTTGATATTGTATGATTCATCAAGACAGAAAGTAATGCTGTAGTTGCCCTGGGAGGGCGGGGAATGGGGAGTCACTTTTTAATGGGTACAGGATTTCAATTTTACAAGACAAAAAGAATTATGGAGATGGGTGGTGGTGATGCTTGCACAACATTGTGAATACGTTTAATGACACTGAATTGTATACTTAACAGTGGTTAAGATGTAAATTGTTGAGTGTGTTTTGCCACAGTTAAAAAACGGAAAACAATAGTATTTGAAGATATAGCCCATTTCATCTGGTAGCTAGCTGTATGTGTCTGCTCAGCTGTGGATAGATATTTATGCTGTTTCTGAACTGGAGGTTACTGGTATTCTCTAAGGTATAGGAAAATTGATCTTATGTGGCTAACTGAGGTGGATATAGTTGTATCAGTCAGACAGTAATGATATAATCATGATAGTTTACATTTAACACAACTTACATGTGTTATACTTTAGAAAGCACTTCATTCATATTATTACTTCATACCATTTTCCCCTTACCATATTTGTCTCTCCTTTCTCTGCTGACTTCAGAAAATGTCTCTTCCACACTACTCAATTCATCTCCTTATTTTGTCAAAATTTTAAGTCTCAGAGTCTCCAAAAAAATTCCAGACAAGTCTCATCAGCTTTCAGTCATTGATTAATCGATATCCTTAGAGGCTTTCCCTTCCCCTTCTCAATTTAACATAGCTTCCAAATACACTTGCCAGTAAAACAAAGTTGTTTATATGGTTTTGTATTTCTTCCTGCTGAATTATGAACATTTTTTCATATTGACATTGATTTCCATCTGGCCATGAAATACTCAAGGTGAAGAAAATGAAACAAAATTGTTAATATTTATCAAGAGCCAGGTACTGTTTTCAGTGTCCTAGAAGCATAAACTAGTGTAACGCTCACCAGATCATATGAGAGGCAAAAATGGATGAAACTATAAAATCAAGACACAGAGAGTTAAGGGAAATTTCCCAAGATCACACAGCCACTGAGGATATGAACTAGATTTTGACTTCAGGCTATTTACCCCAGAACCTGTGCTTTCAACCATTATTTGTACTGCTTCCCTAAATTACTCTTGAGTACACTGTGACATCATACTTCACCCATGACACTGATTATCTGGGGAACTTTGCAACTTATTCTGAATGTGATTCAGTTTTCTTTTCTGTACAGAGATAAAGTCAGTATATACTCCATAGATTCGTTATAAGGATTATATGAAATGACACATGAGAAGGCTTTAAAAGGACATGGAAAGAAATAAGCTTTTTTGTTTTCAATCATTTTTCAATAGGTTATCAGTGTTGTGAATGGTTCATGAAAAATGACTTTGGGCTCAGTGAGTAACTGAAATGTTGTTGCTTAATAGTGTGTTTAATATTAATATAATAGTAACAAATGTTGTTATTGTTGAGTAATACTTATTTGGCTTTTCACTGCTTTTCTTTTCTAGTGTTTTAGTCAGAGACTTCTTAAGTCTCCTCAAGTGTGTACACATTTCTTAAATTTGTTGGAAAGTACCAAATTTAAGATATCTTGCATTTTTTTCTTCCTTAGTAAACACTAAATTCCATCACGCAGCAGAAAAAGGGCTCTGTTATTGTTGGTACAATGGCTTAATATTCACTTTTATTCCCTGTATCGTAGTTCTGATATAATTGCTATTTAGAATAAAGCTTGTTCCTTATTATATGCATTCGTAATTATAAAATTTGTGTTTTAAAGCCTTCTACACATATACTGTGCTTTTCTTTATTTCCTTATATCTCTTACTGTTTCATGATCCTGGTATTTGAAATCTCATTAAGTGTTGTTTGGGGATTTGCTGGGAATGTCATCTACATAGTAATGTCTCAAGTTTGTAGCAACTTTAAAACATAATAGGAGATGGAATTCACAGCAGAGTAATAACCCTCCCACTTTAGGCAATGTATTTGTGATTGGTATGACTTTGTTCCCAGAGGGCAGTTAGCAACACAATATTAAGGCTATGTGTACAAGGAAAACAAATTTTAAAAATCTCCTTTAAAAAAAAACAGTTCCCAATCCTAACCAGTATCATGCACAGAATCCGTTTCCACCTCTTCATATGGAAGCAGCTCTGGGTGGACATCTAGAAAGTTGGATAACTATTTATCACATATGATCTGTAAAGGGAGAGATTTACAAGAAAGTGTTAAATTTAATCCATAGGAAAGCAAAATCAAAAATCAATGAATTTTCCATTTGTAGTTTTCCCTAGGGGCTCCACTCTCTAGATGGCTTAAATGCGTTAGAATTAAATGACTAGGCACAATTGTTTGTTAGTGACATAAAAGCAAGGTAAGCATTTCTGCTTTATGAGTCCAAGCACAGGGAAACTTGGTTTTCTTTGGAAGGATATCATAAAGGCAATGTTTATGAGTAATCCCTCATTGTCTTTCCTTCTGTAGCATTCAATGGTATGTACTATAATTTAGAAATGAAAACTACTTAAAGACCACTTGCTAAGTTTCATGTATTTCAAATTCTCAGATCCTGAGTGTTTAAATATGCCTATATTTCTTCATGAAAAAAACATAATCTTTGCCAAGTTAGAAAAAGAAAGTCATATTCCCATTTTTAACTCAATGTAATCAGAAATTTGGACAGTTTTTAGCCTTCAATACATTATGTAATTTAGGTAACAGGCTGAATAAAAGTAAGGAACTTCAGTTAAATTCAGAGAGAAGCTAGTAATTATTTCTAAGACTCAAATGTATAGAACAGATCTCTGATATTAAGGATAAGACCCTCAAAGGTGACCCAAAATGGGTAATTGTGGGATTATTTTGGGAGGAATCATCATAGATTCTTACTGCTATAAATACAGTCAAATGTCAGATAAATATACTCCACTGAAATGTTTTCTAGGAATGATGTTGGAACCAATGTTGGTAATTTTGAAAGTCATGGAGAGGATTTCAGATGATAGAAGTCGGGCAACTATCCCAGGTTTAATAAATAAGCAAATGGTGAGTTCCAAAGCTGCTGTATCAATGAGCCTCATATTGATCCTGAGCACAATTTCAGAAAGGTCCATTAAATGGGTCTTTGGAGAGCACTTAGGATAAAAGGCTGGCAGCAGGGATTCACTAAGAGCAATGGTGCCAAGCTTGCCTCTTTGACATTGTTATCTGACTGATAAAGGTAGGCTATAGTGGTACACAATACAGATATTTCCAGGGTAAGGCTGTTGAGCTGCTGTAATTTTCCTTGCCTCTTCACTATCTTCTCCTATATTTGACTCCCAAGGAAAAGATAGTTGACTTTTAATCTAGGAATGTATGTTAATTGACAAAAACAAACAAATGAAACCAAAAACTATCCTTTAGGCTTCTCTCTGCTCAGTTATTAGATCATATGAATGTGCCCTTAGGAAACACAGAAGGCCCACACTATTATAGAGACAAATTTCTTACATTCTCTGCTGTTTAATGCTCTTCAAAAGACTTACCATACTTCGCTAATTTGATTACCAACTACTTGAACACAGGGACCAATGTGCTTATTAAAAATTTTGCATATTATGAGGGCATTAACTTTTAAGTATTCGATTGTTAAGACAATGTATATTATTATAAACCATAGAAGGCACACTTATTACCTCCTTAAGACCCAGTCTCTATTTCTCTGGTTCATAGAACTCCAAGGTCATAGAGGGATTGGACATTCGTGTCTTCAATTGGCCCTCTTCAGCCCTAGGATAAATAGTGATTAATCTAAGCCAATGGTTTTCGGCTCTGTCTGACCCAATGCCTCTACTTCATAAGAAATTCTTCAAAGACCCCTTCACTATTCTAAACTATTAGTGAGAACACAATGTATGCATTCAAGTTGTTGAAAATATTAATGGTATGCTGAAGCTAACAAAGGAGAAATAATTTACTGTCAATATATGATCCAAAATGTATATAATTGTGCCAGAACATTTACATATCAAATACAATAGAACATAATGAAATTTTCATATCTTCGCCCATACCTTGAAACACTGTAAATAAAAAGCTACAAATATAGTTTCATTGAATAACCAAATGCCAAAACTGCCATTTCTGTTTTTGACATGATTGATCTGCATTGGTAAATGTAATAGATACTTTCTGTTTGGCCCTTGTCCCCTGTTATACTCCCCTATTTACTGGCTTTTGTCCAAGTGGAATGGTCCATATTGAATATCTCAATCTGTTCCCTTGCTCATTGCCTTCTATGCATGTTCATGAGATTAAAGGGAAGGAGGAAATGGGATTGGGGTTTATTGCCTAAACTCCCTCTCTGCTAGGTCTCCTTGACCAATCTTTTTCATAAGAAAATTAGTGTTTCCTTGCGTGATCAGGGAAGTTTACTCCCCAGAATTCTGCCTGCTGCTACTAACCCAGAGTTATTGTGGGGTGTGATTTCTGTGATTCCTTCACCCTTCTCCCCTGACATTTTCGTAAGTAGTCTCTTTGGAAATAAACCTATGTTAAATTATCTTAGTTTGAGTGTGTTCTGTTTTTCCTATTGAGACTCTGAAATGAGTATCTAAATGAAAAAATCTACCATCTTTTCTCATATACATAGTAGTTTCATTCTTGCAAAATTCATGGCATATTAAAACCATGCAAAAGTACTTGGCACTTAGGCAGTTACATTTGGGATTGTATAATTAAACAAAGCAGGTTATTCACCTTCATTACATTAGAAAGTCATTCAGGACATACAGCAATCCTTAATTAGGAGAGGCTATCCCATGTTACTGGACATATGGCATCCCTGTTTTCCAATCCTTAAAGTTTTTCCTTAAAGTTCCAAAATGCCATCACTTATTATTTCCTGCCATTGGATTTTGTCACATGAAGTTGTAAGTCTGGGAATGCCATAGCCATCTTGAAAACATAGGTAGAAAGATAAGAGAATCACAAAGTGGATCATGTTGAATTAACTAAGCATTGATACCATCTATTTGTTGTGCGATTTGGTAAAAGTTGCTCCTTGTTTTTTTCTTTAATTAGTTGACTATTCTGTTGCTTGAAACTAAAAACTTTTTTTTCTTTTCTTTCCTTCTTTTTTTTTTTTGACAGAATCTTACTCTGTTGCCCAGGCTGGAGTGCAGTGGCATGATCTTGGCTCACTGCAACCTCTGCTTGCCTAGTTCAAGCAATTCTCACACCTCAGCCTCCCTAGTAGCTGGGATTACAGGCACATGCCACCACACTCAGATGATTTTTGTATTTTTAGTAGAGATGGGGTTTCACCCTGTTTGCCAGGCTGGTCTCAAACTCCTGACCTCAAGCGATCTGCCCACCTCAGCCTACCAAAGTGCTGGGATTACAGGTGTAAGCCACTGACCCTGCCCAAAAACATTTTAACCAATAGCAAAGCACATTATTTCATTACATTTTTTCAAAAGTTGCCAGTAATTTCAATTAAAAATATATATAACATGTTTAATGCAATACAAATGCTTTTCAATGTACAATGGGGTTAAGTCTTGATAAGCTGATTATAAATTGAAAATACAGTAAGTTAAAAATGTATTTAATACCTAACTTACTGAATATCACAGCTTAGCCTGGCATACTTTAATGTGCTCAGAACACTTACATCAGCTGACAATTGGGCAAAATCATTGAATACAAAACCCACTTTATAATAAAGTATTGGATATTTTATGTAATTTGTTGAATATTGTACTGAAAGTGAAAAGCAGAATGGTTATATTCTATTCAAAGCTATCACTTTTGCTTCATCATAAAGTAAAAATAATCATAAATTGAACCATTATAATTTGTTGACCATCTGTGTATATGTATGTGTGTGTGTACCTATATAAACATGTATGTTTATATATATATTTGTGTGTGTATATATCCTCGGTGTGTGGGTATGTGTGTTTGAGAGTGTGTGTGTGTGTGTGTGTGTATGAAATTGTAGGAAAGTAAAATTTCTTATCTTATAGATATAGCATGTTAACATGTTGGTACCTATCTTCCTGAGATGTAAAATTTTACATGGATAGATGTGTACATTTACCGTTGTACACAAAGAGAAACATATTCTGTAGGCTCTTTGTTTTTCTGTAATTTAATTCAACACTATCTGGTTTATATGGATGATTACATATATAATGCTAGGATGAAGGTTCTTCTCTATAACTTTGAAACTTCCTTGATTATCAACCCTCGGTGTATTCTTAGAATAGGATTTTATTTTAGAATTAAGATCCTTGTTTCAGGACTCTAGACTGTTAACACACAGAACCAACAATTATTCAGAATGGTTGGGTTAGTTCACATTCCCACAGATGAGACATCAAATGTCCAGGCTGCACAGCCTCATTAACACTAGATTTTCTGGACATTTTATGTAGTATTTCATCTGATATAAAAAGTAGAATTCTAATTTAATTATGGTTGTTAATTTATTTTTATCTTTTTAGTCATTATGAAAATGTTTAACTATATGAAAAGCTAGGAAAGAGTTTTATTTTTTAAGGTAGTACTTCAGAAATATTTGTGATACTTAATTTTTAAAAATTAACTCTAAAAAATCTTGAAATGTCTGTTTAATGAAATAGGACATAAATACTGGTCACATTAGTGAAAAATATTTGTTTAAAATTAAAATATCTGCAGCAATCCTGTAGATATTAATAATTTTTAAAGCATGACATCTTTAAAATATAAATGTTCTAAACTTATAATCAGTTAAATATGTCTCTATTAATACATATAGATACATATATCTAAATAAATTTGAAGACTTCAAATTCCAGGTATAATATAATTCTTTTCTATCCTGTGATTTGTCATTCAGTATTTTGTAATTTGAACAGAAATATTTTGCCGTAACCACATGTCTGTATTTTCTCTTACCTAGAAATGTTATTTTATGCAAAATTGTTTTAAAGGTCAGTTTGCATGTTTGAAAACATCTTGTAGAATGTTACATAATATATTGCATATTTGGTTACATTGTTTTAACTGTGTAAATATGGTTTAAATCTATGATGCTCTTTAGTGCTGATCATGATGCAAAGCAAATTTATCTGTATAAAAGTCTCCTGTTAATTTTTTTTATTATTATATTTTAAGTTTTATGGTACATGTGCACAACGTGCAGGTTTGTTAGATATGTATACATGGGCCATGTTGGTGTGCTGCACCCATTAACTCGTCATTTAACATTAGGTATATCTCCTAATGCTATCCTTCCCCACTCCCCCCCACCCCACAACTGTCCCCAATGTGTGATGTTCCCCTTCCTACATCCATGTTTTCTCATTGTTCAATTCCCACCTATGAGTGAGAACATGTGGTGTTTGGTTTTTTTCCTTGCAATAGTTTGCTGAGAATGATGGTTTCTAGCTTCATCCATGTCCCTACAAAGGACATGAACTCAACATTTTTTATGGCTGCATGGTATTCCATGTTTTATATGTGCCAAGTTTTCTTAATCCAGTCTATCATTGTTGGACATTTGTGTTGGCTCCAAGTCTTTGCTATTGTGAATAGTGCCACAATAAACATACATGTGCTTGTGTCTTTATAGCAGCATGATTTATAATCGTTTGGGTATATACCCAGCAATGGGATGGCTGGGTCAAATGGTATTTCTAGTTCTAGATCCCTGAGGAATCACCACACCGAGTTCCACAATGGTTGAACTAGTTTACAGTCCCACCAACAGTGTAAAAGTTTTCCTATTTCTCCACATCCTCTCCAGCACCTGTTGTTTCCTGACTTTTTAATGATGGCCATTCTAACTGGTGTGAGATGGTATCTCATTGTGGTTTTGATATGCATTTCTCTGATGGCCAGTGATGATGAGCATTTTTTCATGTGTCTTTTGCTTGCAAAATGTCTTCTTTTGAGAAGTGTCTGTTCATTTCCTTTGCCCACATTTTGATGGTGTTGTTTGTTTTTTTCTTGTGAATTTGTTTGAGTTCATTGTAGATTCTGGATATTAGCCCTTTGTCAGATGAGGAGGTCGCAAAATTTTTCTCCCATACTGTAGGTGGCCTGTTCACTCTGATGGTGGTTTCTTTTGCTGTGCAGAACCTCCCTAGTTTAATTAGATCCCATTTGTCAATTTTAGCTTTTGTTGCCATTGCTTTTGGTGTTTTAGACATGAAGTCTCTGCCCATGCCTATGTCCTGAATGGTATTGCCTGGTTTTTCTTCTAGGGTGTTTATGGTTTTAGATCTAACATGTAAGTCTTTAATCCATCGTGAATTAATTTCTGTATGAGGTGTAAGGAAGGGATCCAGTTTCAGCTTTCTACATATGGCTAGCCAGTTTTCCCAGCACCATTTATTTAATAGGGTATCTTTTCCCTAGTTGTTGTTTTTGTCAGGTTTGTCAAAGATCAGATAGTTGTAGATATGTGGCATTATTTCTGAGGGCTCTGTCCTGTTCCATTGGTCTATATCTCTGTTTTGGTACTAGTACTATGCTGTTTTGGTTACTGTAGCCTTGTAGTATAGTTTGAAGTCAGGTAGCATGATGCCTCCACCTTTGTTCTTTTGGCTTAGGATTGACTTGGCAATGTGGGCTCTTTTTTGGTTCCATATGAACTTTAAAGTAGTTTTTTCCAATTCTGTGAAGAAAGTCATTGGTAGCTTGATGGAGATGGAATTGAATCTATAAATTACCTTGGGCAGTATGGCCATTTTCACGATATTGATTCTTCCTACCCGTGAGCATGACATGTTCTTCCATTTGTTTGTATCCTTTTTTATTTCATTGAACAGTAGTTTGTAGTTCTCCTTGAAGAGGTCCTTCACTTCCCTTGTAAGTGGTATTCCTAGGTATTTTATTTTTTTGAAGCAATTGTGAATGGGAGTTCACTCATGATTTGGCTCTCTGTTTGTCTGTTATTGGTGTATAAGAATGCTTGTGATTTTTGCACATTGATTTTGTATCCTGAGACATTGCTGAAGTTGCTTATTAGCTTAAGGAGATTTTGGGCTGAGACGATGGGGTTTTCCACATACACAGTCATGTCATCTGCAAACAGGGACAATTTGACTTCCTCTTTTCCTAATTGAATGCCCTTTATTTCCTTCTCCTTCCTGATTGCCCTGGCCAGAACTTCCAACACTATGTTGAATAGGAGTGGTGAGAGAGGGCATCCCTGTCTTGTGCCAGTTTTCAAAGGGAATGCTTCCAGTTTTTGCCCATTCAGTATGATATTGGCTGTGGGTTTGTCATAGATAGCTCTTATTATTTTGAGATACATCCTATCAATCCCTAATTTATTGAGAGTTTTTAGCATGAAGGTTTGCTGAATTTTGTCAAAGGCCTTTTCTGCATCTATTGAGATAATCATGTGGTTTTTGTCTTTGGTCCTGTTTATACGCTGGATTACGTTTACCGATTTTCATATGTTGAACCAGCCTTGCATCCCAGGGATGAAACCCGCTTGATCATGGTGGATAAGCTTTTTTATGTGTTACTGGATTCGGTTTGCCAGTATTTTATTGAGGATTTTTGCATCAATGTTCATCAAGAATATTGGTCTAAAATTCTCTTTTTTTTGTTTTGTCTCTGCCAGGCTTTGGTATCAGGATGATGCTGGCCTCATAAAATGAGTTAGGGAGGATTCCTTCTTTTTCTATTAATTGGAATAGTTTCAGAAGGAATGGTACCAGTTCCTCCTTGTACCACTGGTAGAATTCGGCTTTGAATCCATCTGGTCCTGGACTTTTTTTGGTTGGTAAGCTATTAATTATTGCCTCAATTTCAGAGAGTGTTATTTGTCTATTCAGAGGTTCAACTTCTTCCTGGTTTAGTCTTGGGAGAGTATATGTGCCCCCATTAAGGCCATGATCACTGCCAATTTTTACTCACAAAGGCTGGAGCTAGAGTTATATGGAATTCCATATGTATCTAAACCATAGATTTATCAATTATCACTTAAACACAACTTGGAGGACACTATCCAGAATTTGTAGGGCTTGGCCTTATTCTAGAGAAACATACACTGGAATAGGCAGTTGGATTTTAAATTCAGTCTTAAATCTGTTGAAAATAATGCATTTTTTTCTCAGAGATGAGATATTGTTCAACTCTTTTGACTTATTTTAGATTTGATATTCTACAGTTCGAACACCATGGAGATTTACTAATCTGAATGAACACATACCAAATTAGTCTTTGCTCCAGTCTCAAAATCTGAGATTAATTCTGGCTGCTGAATAAATTTTCCAGTGTTAAGAGTATGCTTCAATGCTGGTGACTGGTACTACTTTCTGGTAAACTATAGATGACATGTGTGCTTTCATTGCCTGAACTCACTTTGTAGAACACCATTAAATGAAAATCATCACCAGCAATTTGGGAGGCTAAGGCGGGCAGATCATTTGAGGTCAGGAGTTTGAGACCAGCCTGGCCAACATGATGAAACCCCATCTCTACTGAAAATACAAAAACTTATCCAGGCATGGCGGGATGCACCTGGAATCCCAGCTACTTGGGAGGCTGAGGCAGGAAAATCGCCTGAACCCAGGATGTGAAGGTTGCAGTGAACAGAGATGTTGCCATTGCACTCCAGCCTGGGCAACAGAGTGAGACTTCATCTCCAAAAAAAGGAAAAAAAAGAGAGAGAGAGAGAAAAATTTATCAGTGTTCAGTGACTCTTTTTTTTCATTCTGATAAACTATTACACAGAAAAAGAAATGTATCCATTATGGACAATTAAAAGGGCTATACAATCTCTCTCATTGTATGATTCTGGTTTTCTTTCTTTTTCTTTTCTTTTTTTTCTTTTTTTTTTAAGGCAGGATCTCACTCTGTCACCCAGGCTGGAATGCAGTGGCTCTATCTTGGCTCACTGCAACCTCAGCCTACCGGGTTCAAGCTATTCTCCTGCCTTAGACTCTTGAGTAGCTAGGAATAAAGGCATTCACCACCACGCCAGCTAATTTGTGTATTTTTTTAATACAGGTGGCGTTTTGCCATGTTGTCCAGGCTGGTCTTGAACTCCTGACCTCAAATGATCCTCCCGTCTTGGCCTCCCTAAGTATTGGCATTACAGGCATAAGCCACCATGCTTGGCCTGATTCTGTTTTTTAACACAATTCTTATTACTTCTGTTTTAATTTTACAAAACCATAGGTTTTTAATCTGGGAAACCTTTGAGAAAACATCCAGATAAATTTATAAATAGAAAAATAAATTCAGATACATAGAATTAAGTTTATGATCTAACAAGTGGGTGGTAACTGAAAACTTTCCAAGTTACATAAACTGAAGTGAAAGGATCACTTTCCTGAAAATATTACAAAGGCTTGATAATTACCTGGATTGTACTAAAACCTACACAATCTAGTATATTCTATAGCAGCAATTCATAAAGACAGCTTCACTTACCATGTAGAATTTATACATACACTATATTTAAGGAATGCGTTACTTGCTATTGGAGTAGGATAATAAACTCCCAGCAGAACTGATTTGCATGAATGCCAATTAAACTATCATTGATGTATAAATTAAACAATATATTAAGCTATTGAGCCCCAGATGTGTGAGAGACAGAGAAAAACTTCAAAAGAGTTCAGCTACCAAATCCCTTCCTCAATAGCTCTTTGAGTCTCAAGACAGTTTCAACCACACACACCCTCAGAGTCTTATGGTCAAAACAACATTTGACTGCAGCTCTAAAGTAAGCAAACATTTGAAAAGAAACAATCAAAGATCTATGCCTGTAGTTATGGTCAAGGAGGTCCACCTACTGGTGGGTGAGCATGGCAAGGATAGGGACTAAGCCAAATGATGGGTTTACCAAAACAGAAACAAGAGAAGTCATTGGAAGCACAGTCCAGGTTATAACAGGAGCCCAGGCACTTGATGTGGGAACCCTATTTGTCTCATTCAGCACTTAGAGTTTTAACGTCCTATGAGGCACAGCTAATGCCCTTCATTATTTTTTTGTAATTGACTGCATAGTTTAGAACTATGCCTTGAATTTAATATCTATCTGTTGAATAAATGAATTAATAATGATGAAAATCTGTCCACAGGTTATGTGGACAGTACTGAAGAGCAACTTCAGCTACTGAGGTATCTATCAGAAGTCTTACTCTCCAAAAAGCCTCTGGTTAGTTACTGATATACGTTGCTGATAATTTCACTTTCACAATGTAGGGGAAGCAGGAATGTTATCTGGCCTCTTGGCTCCTCTTCCTTTGCCTTCCACAGATCTCTCTGCTGGTTCACACAGGAACACTTTCGTGGCTCTCAGTTCATTTTGCAATTCTGCTAGAATCTCATTCCATCCTCAGTTGTAACTAGCTTGTCCTTCACCCAACGCTTATTTACAGAGGGACAGATAGCAAGAAGAAATCGCACTCTGGATTACAAAGTGGGAAGACGCACCCCTTGGCCAGAATGCCTGCCTCCTATGTTCATGAAGGATATTTCTAATTGATCTCAGCACTCTTTTCCATTGAGCCCATGTCCCAAATTGGCCGTGAGTTAGGGAGAGGGCTCTAGAGTGGGAAAGGTGTACCCAAAACTTTCCTAATCTGACTATCAAGCCTAAAAAATTAAACTTTCAATTCAACATCCCTTGTTTCTCCAACTTGGAGTGCCTGATGGTGTGGGAAGCCCCTACTCATAAAAATTCATAGTTGAAGATTGTTGGTAATTTTGCCCAACCTCCTTCTTATTTTTATTATACTTTAAGTTCTAGGGTACATGTGCACAACGTGCAGGTTCATTACATATGTATACATGTGACATGTTGGTGTGCTGCACCCATTAACTCGTCATTTACATTAGGTATATCCCCTAATGCTTTTCCTCCCCTAGCCTGTCACCCCACAACAGGCCCCAGTGTGTGATGTTCCCCTTCCTGTGTCCATGAGTACTCATTGTTTAATTCCCACCTATGAGTGAGAACATGTGGTGTTTGTTTTTTTGTCCTTGTGATAGTTTGCTGAGAATGATGGTTTCCAGCTTCATCCTTGTCCCTACAAAGGACATGAACTCATCCTTTTTATGGCTGCATAGTATTCCATGGTGTATATGTGCCACATTTTCTTAATCCAGTCTATCATTGTTGGACATTTGGGTTGGTTCCAAGTCTTTGCTATTGTCAGTAGTGCCTCAATAAACTCCTTCTTTCTTTGCCTAGTTACACCTCAATGCAACCTCCTGGCAGGCCAGCCTTAAGCCCAGCAGTACAACCATGCATCTAAGCTGAGTTCTCATCAGAGCCAACTTCAATTATAAACAACTGAGATGATGCCAGAGGCCAGAATCCCTGAGAACCCAATTTGCTGTCATCACCGCAGCTGAAACAAGGCGCTTGGCATCTAGAAAAGCTGATCTGTAGGAAATTTCCAATAGAGTTCAATTTTTTTTCTAAGTTTAAAGTGTACAATATCATCAAGGTCAGACACTCGAGGTAAAACTAGGCTTGTGTTTAAATATAATAAAAATATTTGAGGAATAGTAAGAGTGGTGACTACTTTTACACAGGAATGTTTCAAATAAATTGTTTTTTTCTTGTGCCTTTTAAATTTTGTGATTTGTCAATGAGATGCTGACATATTTTTAATGAAGCATGCCTTGTAAAATAATAAGTGAATGAAAACTACACAGTAATATTTACATCAACAAAGCTAGAAGACTGTATGTCTCAAGAGGCTCCATTATCTACCCAGTGGCCACTTGACCAAATTAAGATCCAAATACCAAAAAGAAAAGTAATTAAAATTTGTGTTGTATGCCTTATAAGACCAAACCTATAAAATGAGGGGAAACTTCACAATTACTTGTAATTTGCTCTGTGGAATTGTAACAGATGGATTATAAAGATGATTCCATGATAAACATCTAAATGTGGTTACTACCTTCTGTGCTTTCTTGGTTCATATTTTTATTTTTTTTCTTTATAAACAGACAATTCATTCTTATCTATGGCAATGCAAACTTTTCAGATGTATTGAATATGTCATAGTTTTTTTCTATTGTAGGCATCTCTAAAAAAGGTATAGAAAACAAACAGAGAAAAGTCTGGTGTTGGAAAGGAGAGAGAAATAAAGCTTGTAAAGGAATGAAGATTAGAGCTTTCTGGAGATAAAAATTCTTAGAAGATACAAAAGCTAGTTACTGAATTAGATGAAGGTTCTTTTTCAGTTTTTCCCAGTTGTTCACCTCTTAGAAGGCACATATTCACAGCAGAAAAGAAAAAAAGGGTTAAAAAGAAAATACCTCGGTGTAGTGAGACTGTAATTTCATGAGGGCATTACTGAAGACTCACTTTTTCCAGCATCACTCAGCATGGTATTATGCATGTGTGTAATGTAAAGGAAAGTGAATATGCATTCTTGGATGGGTGATCAAATCGTAATTCCAGAATGTAATCAGAAGCTGATTCATTATCCTCTTGAGATTTCACAATCTTTTCATCAGGAATTAAAATTCAGAAGAGGGTAAATGTATCTAATCATTTGAAAGTTAAAAATTAGTGGATGGAGGCAACATGGCCGAATAGGAACAGCTCCAGTCTACACCTCCCAGCGTCAGTGATGCAGAAGACAGGTGATATCTGCATTTCCAACTGAGGTACAAGGTTCATCTCAATGGGGAGTGCTGGACAGTGGGTGCAGCACACCATGCATGAGCCAAAGCAGGGCAAGGCATCACCTCACCTGGGAAGCACAATGGGTCAGGGAATTCCCTTTCCTAGTCAAAGAAAGAGGTGACAGATGGCATCTGGAAAATCAGGTCACTCCCACCCTAATACTGCGCTTTTCCAACAGGCTTATCAAATGGCACACCAGGAGATTGTATCCAGCACCTGGCTTGGAGGATCCTACACCCACGGAGCCTCGCTGTTTGCTAGCACAGCAGTCTGAGATCAAACTGCAAGGTTACAGTGGACCTGGGGGAGGGGCGCCCGCCATTGCTCAGGCTTGAGTAAGTAAACAAAGCAGCCAGGAAGTTCGAACTGGGTGGAGCCCAACACAGCTCAAGGAGGCCAGCCTGCCTCCTTAGGCTCCACCTCTGGGGGCAGGGCACAGACAAACAAAAGACAGCAATAACCCCTGCAGACTTAAATGTCCCTGTCTGACAGCTTTGAAGAGAGTAGTGGTTCTCCCAGCATGCAGCTTGAGATCTGAGAACAGGCAGACAGGCTCCTCAAGTGAGTTCCTGACCCCTGAGTAGCCTAACTGGGAGGCACCCCCCCGTAGTGGCAGACTGACATCTCACATGGCTGGGTACCCCTCTGAGTCAAAACTTCCAGAGGAACGATCAGGCAGCAGCATTTGCAGTTCACCACTATCCACTGTTCTGCAGCCACCGCTGCTGATACCCAGGCAAATAGTGTCTGGAGTAGACCTCCAGTAAACTCCAACAGACCTGCAGCTGAGGGTCCTGACTGTTAGAAGGAAAACTAACAAACAGAAAGGACATCCACACCAAAAATCCATCTGTATGTCACCATCATCAAGGAACAAAGGAAGATAAAACCACAAAGATTGGAAAAAACAGAGCAGAAAAACTGGAAACTCTAAAAATCAGAGTGCCTCTCCTCCTGCAAAGGAATGCAGCTCCTCACCAGCAATGGAACAAAGCTGGACGGAGTGTGACTTTGACGAGTTGAGAGAGGAAGGCTTCAGAAGATCAAAGTACTCCGAGCTAAAGGAGTAAGTTCAAACCAATGGCAAAGAAGTTAAAAATTTGAAAAAAAAATTAGACGAATGGATAACTAGAATAACAAATGCAGAGAAGTCCTTAAGGGACCTGATGGAGCTGAAAACCATGGCACAAGAACTACATGACAAATGCATAAGCCTCAGTAACCGATGTGATCAACTGGAAGAAAGAGTATCAGCGATGGAAAACGAAATGAATGAAATAAAGCATGAAGAGAAGTTTAGAGAAAAAGGAATAGAAGAAATGAACAAAGCCTCCAAGAAAATATGGGACTATGTGAAAAGACCAAATGTATGTCTAATTGGTGTACCTGAAAGTGATGGGGAGAATGGAACCAAGTTGCAAAACACTCTGCAGGATATTATCCAGGAGAACTTCCCCAATCTAGTAAGGCAGGCCAACATACAAATTCAGAAAATACAGAGAATGCCACAAAGATACTCCTCGAGAAGAGCAACTCCAAGACACATAATTGTCAAATTCACCAAAGTTGAAATGAATGAAAAAATTTTAAAGGCAGCCAGAGAAAAAGGTCAGGTTACCCACAAAAGGAAGCCCATCAGACTAACTGCTGATCTCTCCTCAGAAACTCTACAAGCCAGAAGAGAGTAAGGGCCAATATTCAATATTCTTAAAGAAAAGAATTTTCAACCCAGAATTTCATATCCAGCCAAACTAAGCTTCATAAGTGAAGGAGAAATAATATACTCCACAGACAAGAAAATGCTGAGAGATTTTGTCACCACCAGGCCTGCCCTAAAAGAGCTCCTGAAGGAAGCACTAAACATGGAAAGGAACAACTGGTACCAGCCATTGCAAAAACATGCCAAATTGTAAAGACCGTCAAGGCTAGGAAGAAACTGCATCAACTAACGAGGAAAATAACCAGCTAACATCATAATGACGGGATCAAATTCACACATAACAATACTAACCTTAAATGTAGATGGGTTAAATGCTCCAATTAAAAGGCACAGATTGGCAAATTGGATAAAGAGTCAAGATCCATCAGTGTGCTGTATTCAGGAAACCATTCTCACCTGCAGAGACACACATAGGCTCAAAATAAAGGGATGGAGGAAGATCTACCAAGCAAATGGAAAACAAAAAAAGGCAGGGGTTGCAATCCTAGTCTCTGATAAAACAGACTTTAAACCACCAAAGATCAAGAGACAAAGCAGGCCATTACATAATGGTAAAGGGTTCAATTCAACAAGAACTAACTATCCTAAATATATATGCACACAATACAGAAGCACCCAGATTCATAAAGCAAGTCCTTAGTGATCTACAAAGTGACTTAGACGCCCACAAAATAATAATGGGAGACTTTAACACCCCACTGTCAACATTAGACAGATCAACGAGACAGAAAGTCAACAAGGATATCCAGGAATTGAACTCAGCTCTGCACCAAGCAGACCTAATAGACATCTACAGAACTCTCTATCCCAAATCAACGGAATATGTATTCTTTTCAGCACCACACCACACCTATTCCAAAATTGACCACATAGTTGGAAGTAAAGCACTCCTCAGCAAATGTAAAAGAACAGAAAGTATAACAAAGTGTCTCTCAGACCACAGTGCAAGCAAACTACAACTCTGGATTAAGAAACTCACTCGAAACCACTCAACTACATGGAAACTGAACAACCTGCTCCTGAATGACTACTGGGTACATAAGGAAATGAAGGCAGAAATAAAGATGTTCTTTGAAACCAACAAGAACAAAGACACAACATACCGGAATCTCGGGGACACATTCAAAGCAGTGTGAAGAGGGAAATTTACAGCACTAAATGCCCACAAGAGAAAGCAGGAAAGAAATAAAATTGACATCTTAACATCACAATTAAAAGAACTAGAGAAGCAAGAGCAAACACATTCAAAAGCTAGCAGAAGGCAAGAAGTAACTAAGATCAGAGCAGAACTGAAGGAAATAGAGACACAAAAAACCCTTCAAAAAATCAATGAATCCAGAAGCTGTTTTTTTGAAAAGATCAACAAAATTGACAGACCACTAGCAAGACTAATAAAGAAGAAAAGAGAGAAGAATCAAATAGATGCAATAAAAATTGACAAAGGGGATATCACCACTGATCCCACAGAAATACAAACTACAATCAGAGACTACTATAAACACCTCTACGCAAATAAACTAGAAAATCTAGAAGAAATGGATAAATTCCTTGACACATATTTTCTCTCAAGACTAAACCAGGAAGAAGTTGAACCTCTGAATAGACAAATAACACGCTCTGAAATTGAGGCAATAATTAATAGCTTACCAACCAAAAAAAGTTCAGGACCAGATGGATTCACAGCCGAATTCTACCAGTGGTACAAGGAGGAACTGGTACCATTCCTTCTGAAACTATTCCAATCAATAGAAAAAGAGGGAATCCTCCCTAACTCATTTTATGAGGCCAGCATCATCCTGATACCAAAGCCTGGCAGAGACAAAACAAAAAAAAAGAGAATTTTAGACCAATATCCTTGATGAACATTGATGCAAAAATCCTCAATAAAATACTGGCAAACCGAATCCAGTAACACATAAAAAAGCTTATCCACCATGATCAAGCGGGTTTCATCCCTGAGATGCAAGGCTGGTTCAACATATGAAAATCAGTAAACGTAATCCAACATATAAACAGGACCAAAGACAAAAACCACATGATTATCTCAATAGATGCACAAAAGGCCTTTGACAAAATTCAGCAAACCTTCACGCTAAAAACTCTCAACAAATTAGGGATTGATAGGACGTATCTCAAAATAATAAGAGCTATCTATGACAATCCCACAGCCAATATCATACTGAATGGACAAAAACTGGAAGCATTCCCTTTGAAAACTGGCACAAGACAGGGATGCCCTCTCTCACCACTCCTATTCAATATAGTGTTGGAAGTTCTGGCCAGGGCAATCAGGAAGGAGAAGGAAATAAAGGGCATTCAATTAGGAAAAGAGGAAGTCAAATTGTCCCTGTTTACAGATGACATGACTGCGTATGTGGAAAACCCCATTGTCTCAGCCCAAAATCTCCTTAAGCTAATAAGCAACTTCAGCAAAGTCTCAGGGTACAAAATCAATGTTCAAAAATCACAAGCATTCTTATACACCAATAACAGACAAACAGAGAGCCAAATCATGAGTGAACTCCCATTCACAATTGCTTCAAAGAAAATAAAATACCTAGGAATACCACTTACAAGGGAAGTGAAGGACCTCTTCAAGGAGAACTACAAACTACTGCTCAATGAAATAAAAAAGGATACAAACAAATGGAAGAACATGCCATGCTCATGGGTAGGAAGAATCAATATCGTGAAAATGGCCATACTGCCCAAGGTAATTTATAGATTCAATTCCATCTCCATCAAGCTACCAATGACTTTCTTCACAGAATTGGAAAAAACTACTTTAAAGTTCATATGGAACCAAAAAAGAGCCCACATTGCCAAGTCAATCCTAAGCCAAAAGAACAAAGGTGGAGGCATCATGCTACCTGACTTCAAACTATACTACAAGGCTATAGTAACCAAAACAGCATAGTACTAGTACCAAAACAGAGATATAGACCAATGGAACAGGACAGAGCCCTCAGAAATAATGCCACATATCTACAACTATCTGATCTTTGACAAACCTGACAAAAACAAGAACTAGGGAAAGGATACCCTATTAAATAAATGGTGCTGGGAAAACTGGCTAGCCATATGTAGAAAGCTGAAACTGGATCCCTTCCTTGCACCTTATACAGAAATTAATTCACGATAGATTAAAGACTTACATGTTAGACCTAAAACCATAAAAACCCTAGAAGAAAAACCAGGCAATACCATTCAGGACATAGGCATGGGCAGGGACTTCATGTCTAAAACACCAAAAACAATGGCAACGAAAGACAAAATTGACAAATGGGATCTAATTAAACTAAGGAGGTTCTGCACAGCAAAAGAAACCACTATCAGAGTGAACAGGCATCCTACAGAATGGGAGTAAAGTTTTGCGACCTCCTCATCTGACAAAGGGCTAATATCCAGAATCTACAATGAACTCAAAGAAATTCACCAGAAAAAAACAACCCCACCAAAATGTGGGCAAAGGTAATGAACAGACACTTCTCAAAAGAAGACAATTTGCAGCCAAAAGACACATGAAAAAATGCTCATCATCACTGGCCATCAGAGAAATGCATATCAAAACCACAATGAGAAACCATCTCACACCAGTTAGAATGGCGATCATTAAAAAGTCAGGAAACAACAGGTGCTGGAGAGGATGTGGAGAATTGGAACAATTTTACACTGTTGGTGGGACTGTAAACTAGTTCAACCATTGTGGAACTCGGTGTGGGGATTCCTCAGGGATCTAGAACTAGAAATACCATTTGACCCAGCCATCCCATTGCTGGGTATATACCCAAACGATTATAAATCATGCTGCTATAAAGACACAAGCACATGTATGTTTATTGTTGCACTATTCACAATAGCAAAGACTTGGAGCCAATACAAATGTCCAACAATGATAGACTGGATTAAGAAAACGTGGCACATATACACCATGGAATACCATGCAGCCATAAAAAATGTTGAGTTCATGTCCTTTGTAGGGACATGGATGAAGCTAGAAACCATCATTCTCAGCAAACCAGTGCAAGGAAAAAAAACCAAACACCACATGTTCTCACTCATATGTGGGAATAGAACAATGAGAAAACATGGATGCAGGAAGGGGAACATCACACACTGGGGACAGTTGTGGGGTGGGGGGAGGGGGGAAGGATAGCATTAGGAGATATCCCTAATATTAAATGACGAGTTAATGGGTGCAGCACACCAACATGGCCCATGTATACATATCTAACAAACCCGCACGTTGTGCACATGTACCCTAAAACTTAAAATATAATAATAAAAAAATTAACAGGAGACTTTTATACAGATAAATTTGCTTTGCATCATGATCAGCACTAAAGAGCATCATAGATTTAAACCATATTTACACAGTTAAAACAATGTAACCAAATATGCAATATATTATGTAACATTCTACAAGATGCTTTCAAACATGCAAACTGACCTTTAAAACAATTTTGCATAAAATAACATTTTTAGGTAAGAGAAAATACAGACATGTGGTTAGGGCAAAATATTTCTGTTCAAATTACAAAATACTGAATGACAAATCACAGGATAGAAAAGAATTATATTGTACCTGGAATTTGAAGTCTTCAAATATATTTAGATATATGTATCTATATGTATTGAGACATATTTAACTGATTATAAGTTTAAAACATTTATATTTTGAAGATGTCATTCTTTAAAAATTATTAATATCTACAGGATTGATACAGATATTTTAATTTTAAACAAATATTTTTCACTAATGTGACCAGTATTTATGTCCTATTTCATTAAACAGACATTTCAAGATTTTTTAGAGTTAATTTTTAAAAATTAAGTATCGCAAATATTTCTGAAGTACCACCTTAAAAAATAAAACTCTTTCCTAGCTTTTCATATAGTTAAACATTTTCATAATGACTAAAAAGATAAAAATAAATTAACAACCATAATTAATTTAGAATTCTACTTTTTATATCAGATGAAATACTATATAAAATCTCCAGAAAATCTAGTGTTAATGAGGCTGTGCAGCCTGGACATTTGATGTCTCATCTGTGGGAATGTGAACTAACCCAACCATTCTGAATAATTACTGGCTCTGTGTGTTAACAGTCTAGAGTCCTGAAACAAGGATCTTAATTCTAAAATAAAATCCTATTCTAAGAATTTACCAAGGGTTGATAATCAAGGAAGTTTCAAAGTTATAGAGAAGAACCTTCATCCTAGCATTATATATGTAATCATCCATATAAACCAGATAGTGTTGAATGAAACTGCAGAAAAACAAAGAGCCTACAGAATATGTTTCTCTTTGTGTACAACGGTAAATGTACACATCTATCCATGTAAAATTTTACATCTCAGGAGGATAGGTACCAACATGTTAACATGCTATATCTATAAGATAAGAAATTTTACTTTCCTACAATATCATACACACACACACACACTCTCAAACACACATACACACACACCGAGGATATATACACACACAAATATATATATAAACATACATGTTTATATAGGTACACACACACATACATATACACAGATGGTCAACAACTTATAATGGTTCAATTTATGATTTTTTTTTTACTTTATGATGAAGCAAAAGTGATAGCTTTGAATAGAATATAACCATTCTGCTTTTCACTTTCAGTACAATATTCAACAAATTACATAAAATATCCAATACTTTATTATAAAGTGGGTTTTGTATTCAATGATTTTGCCCAATTGTCAGCTGATGTAAGTGTTCTGAGCACATTAAAGTATGCCAGGCTAAGCTGTGATATTCAGTAAGTTAGGTATTAAATACATTTTTAAAATAGAACACACACAAACTAAGATAATTTAACATGGGTTTATTTCCAAAGATACTACTTACGAAAATGTCAGGGGAGAAGGGTGAAGGAATCACAGAAATCACACCCCACAATAACTCTGGGTTAGTAGCAGCAGGCAGAATTCTGGGGAGTAAACTGCCCTGATCACACAAGGAAACACTAATTTTCTTATGAAAAAGATTGGTCAAGGAGACCTAGCAGAGAGAGAGTTTAGGCAATAACCCAATCCCATTTCCTCCTTCCCTTTAATCTCATGAACATGCATAGAAGGCAATGAGCAAGGGAACCGATTGAGATATTCAATATGGACCATTCCACTTGGACAAAAGCCAGTAAATAGGGGAGTATAACAGGGGACAAGGGTCAAACAGAAAGTATCTATTACATTTACCAATGCAGATCAATCATGTCAACAATAGAAATGGCAGTTTTGGCATTTGGTTATTCAATGAAACTATATTTGTGGCTTTTTATTTACAATGTTTCAAGGTATGGGTGAAGATATGAAAATTTCAATATGTTCTATTGTATTTGAGATGTAAATGTTCTGGCACAATTATATACATTTTGGATCATATATTGACAGTAAATTATTTCTCCTTTGTTAGCTTCAGCATAACATTAATATTTTCAACAACTTGAATGCATACATTGTGTTCTCACTAATAGTTTAGAATAGTGAAGGGGTCTTTGAAGAATTTCTTATGAAGTAGAGGCATTGGGTCAGACAGAGCCGAAAACCATTGGCTTAGATTAATCACTATTTATCCTAGGGCTGAAGAGGGCCAATTGAAGACACAAATATCCAATCCCTCTATGACCTTGGAGATCTAGGAACCAGAGAAATAGAGACTGGTTCTTAAGGAGGTAATAAGTGTGCCTTCTATGGTTTATAATAATATGCATTGTCTTAACAATCGAATACTTAAAAGTTAATGCCCTCATAATATGCAAAATTTTTAATAAGCACATTGGTCCCTGTGTTAAAGTAGTTGATAATCAAATTAGTGCAGTATGGTAAGTCTTTTGAAGAGCATTAAACATCAGAGAATGTAAGAAATTTGTCCCTATAATAGTGTGGGCCTTCTGTGTTTCCTAAGGGCACATTCATATGATCTAATAACTGAGCAGAGAGAAGCCTAAAGGATAGTTTATGGTTTCATTTGTTTGTCTTTGCCAATTAACATACATTTCTAGATTAAAAGTCAACTATCTGTTCCTTGGGAGTCAACTATAGGAGAAGATAGTGAAGAGGCAAGGAAAATTACAGCAGCTCAACAGCTTTACCCTGGAAATATCTGTATTGTGTACCGCTATAGCCTACCTTTACAGGCACATAACAATGTCAAAGAGGCAATCTTGGCACCATTGCTCTTAGTGAATCCCTGCTGCCAGCCTTTTATCCTAAGTGCTCTCCAAAGACCCATTTAATGGACCTTCCTGAAATTGTGCTCAGGATCAATATGAGGCTCATTAATACAGCATTTTTGGAACTCACCATTTGCTTATTTATTAAACTTGGGATAGTTGCCAGACTTCTATCAACTGAAATCCTCTCCAAGACTTCAAAATTACCAACATTGGTTCCAACATCATTCCTAGAAAACATTTCGTGGAGTATATTTATCTAACATTTGACTGTATTTATAGCAGTAAGAATCTATGATGATTCCTCCCAAAATAATCCCACAATTACCAATTTTGGCTCACCTTTGAGGGTCATACCCTTAATATCAGAGATCTGCTCTATACATTTGAGTCTTAGAAATAATTCTAAGGTCTAAGTATTCAACAGAAAGGTTGAATTCTGTGACATGAATTCACACATCACAAAGAGGTTTTTCAGAAATCTTCTGTCTGGTTTTTAGGTGACGATACTTCCTTTTTCACCACGGGCCTCAAATATCTCCAAATATCCATTTGCAGATTCTACAGAAAGACTTTCCAAACTGCTCAATCAAAAGAAAGGTTCAACACGGTGAGATGAAGGCACACATCACCAAGAAGTTTCTCAGTAACCTTCTGTCTAGTTTTTAGGTGAAGATACTTCGTATTTCACCACAGGCCTTAAAGGGCTCACAAATATCCCTCTGCAGGTTCTACAAAAAGACTGTTTCCAAACTGATCAATCAAAGGAGAGGTTCAACTCTGTGACATGAATGGACACATCACAAACAATTTCTTGGAATGCTTCCGTCTAGTTTTTATGGGAAGATATTTCTCTTTCACCATAAGCCTCAAACGGATCAGAATTC